>NT_187588.1:0-40090 GCF_000001405.40 Homo sapiens | reverse complement strand
GTTTGTATTTCTGTGGGATCGGTGGTGATATCCCCTTTATCATTTTTTATTGCATCTATTTGATTCTTCTCTTTTCTTCTTTATTAGTCTTGCTAGCAGTCTGTCAATTTTGTTGATCTTTTCAAAAAACCAGCTCCTGGATTCAACTATTTTTTGAAGGGTTTTTTCTGTCTCTATCTCCTTCAGTTCTGCTCTGATCTTAGTTACTTCTTGCCTTCTGCTAGCTTTTGAATGTGTTTGCTCTTGCTTCTCTATTTCTTTTCATTGTGATGTCAGGGTACGGATTTTAGATCTTTCCTGCTTTCTCCTGTGATTTAGTGCTATAAATTGCCCTCTCCACACTGCTTTAAATGTGTCCCAGAGATTCTGGTACAGTGTGTCTTCGTTCTCATTGGCTTCAAAGAACATCATTATTTCTGCCTTCATTTCGTTATGTACCCAGTAATCATTCAGGAACAGGTTGTTCAGTTTGCGTGTAGTTGTGTGGTTTTGAGTGAGTTTTTTATCCTGAGTTCTAATTTGATTGCACTGTGGTCTGAGAGACAGTTTTTTATGATTTCTGTTCTTTTACATTTGCTGAGGAGTGCTTTACCTCCAACTATGTGGTCAATTTTGGAATAAGTGTGGTGTGGTGCTGAGAAGAATGTATATTCTGTTGATTTAGGGTGGAAAGATCTGTAGATGTCTATTAGGCCTGCTTGGTGCAGAGTTGAGGTCAAGTCCTGGATATCCTTGTTAACTTTCTGTCTTGTTGATCTGTCTAATGTTGACAGAGGGGTGTTAAGTCTCCTATTATTATTGTGTGGGAGTTTAAGTCTCTTTGTAGGTCTCTAAGGACTTGCTTTATGAATCTGAGTGCTCCTGTATTGGGTGCATACATATTTAAGATAGTTAGCTCTTCTTGTTGAATTGATCCCTTTACCATTATGTAATGGCCTTCTTTGTTTCTTTTGATCTTTGTTGGTTAAAGTCTGTTTTATCAGAGACTAGGATTGCAACCCCTGCGTTTTTTGTTTTCCATTTACTTGGTAGATCTTCCTCCATCCCTTTATTTTGAACCTATGTGTGTCTGCACATGAGATGGGTCTCCTGAATA
The DNA here is from genome assembly GCF_000001405.40 of Homo sapiens. NCBI lineage: Eukaryota > Metazoa > Chordata > Mammalia > Primates > Hominidae > Homo > Homo sapiens. The sequence goes on along the minus strand of NT_187588.1, from coordinate 38,994 downwards.
CAGCACATTGATGGGTCTTGACTCTATCCAATTTGCCAGTCTGTGTCTTTTAATTGCAGCATTTATCCCATTTACATTTAAGGTTAATATTGTTATGTGTGAATTTGATCCTGTCATTATGATGTTAGCTGGTTATTTTGCACATTAGTTGATGCAGTTTCTTCCTGGTAATGATAGTCTTTACAATTTGGCATGTTTTTGCTGTTGCTGGTACCGGTTGTTCCTTTCCATGTTTAGTGCTTCCTTCAAGAGCTCTTGTAAGGCAAGCCTGATGGTGACAAAATCTCTCAGCATTTGCTTGCCTGTAAAGGATTTTATTTCTCCTTCACTTATGAAGCTTAGTTTGGCTGGATATGAAATTCTGGGTTGAAAATCCTTCTGTTTAAGAATGTTGAATATTGGTCCCCACTCTCTTCTGGCTTGTAGAATTCCTGCCGAGAGATCAGCTGTTAGTCTGATGGGCTTCCCTTTGTGGGTAACCTGACCTTTCTCTCTGGCTGCCCTTAACATTTTTTCTTTCATTTCAACCTTGGTGAATCTGACAATTATGTGTCTTGGGGTTGCTCTTCTCGAGGGGTGTCTCTGTGGCGTTCTCTGTATTTCCTGAATTTGAATATTGGCCTGCCTTACTATGTTGAGGAAGTTCTCCTGGATAATATCCTGCAGAGTGTTTTTCAACTTGGTTCCATTCTCCCCATCACTTTCGGATACACCAATCAAATGTAGATTTGGTCTTTTCACATAGTCCCATATTTCTTGGAGGCTTTGTTTCTTTTTACTCTTTTTTCTCTAAGCTTTCTTCTCACTTCATTTCTTCCATTTGGTCTTCCATCACTGATACCCTTTCTTCCACTTGATCAAATCAGCCACTGAAGCTTGTGGATGTGTCATGTAGTTCTCGTGCCATGGTTTTCAGCTCCATCAGTTCATTTAAGGTCTTCTCTATGCTGTTTATTCTAGGTAGCCATTCTTCTCATCTTTTTTCAAGGTTTTTAGCTTCATTGTGATGGGTTCAAACATCCTCCTTTAGCTCAGGGAAGTTTGTTATTACCATTCTTCTGAAGCCTACTTCTGTCAACTTGTCAAAGTCATTTTCTGTCCAGCTTTGTTCCATTGCTGGCAAGGAGCTGCGATCCTTTGGAGGAGAAGAGATGCTCGGTTTTTAGAATTTTCAGCTTTTCTTCTCTGGTTTCTCCCCATCTTTGTGGTTTTATCTACCTTTGGTCTTTGATGATGGTGATGTACAGATGGGGTTTTGGTGCAGATGTTGTTTTTGTTGATGTTGATGCTATTCCATTCTGTTTGTTAGTTTTCCTTCTCACAGTCAGGACCCTGAGCTGCAGTTCTACTGGAGTTTGATGGAGGTCCACTCCAGACCCTGTTTGCGTGGGTATCACCAGCAGAGGCTGCAGAGCAGCAAATATTGCAGAACAGCAAATGTTGCTGCCTGATCCTTCCACTGGAAGCTTTGTCCCAGATGGGCACCTGGTTGTATGAAGTGTCAGTCGGCCCCTACTGGGAGATGTCTCCCAGTTAGGCTACTCGGTGGTCAGGGACCCACTGGAGGAGGCAATGTGTCCATTCTGAGCCCTCGAACTCTGTGCTGGGAGAACAACTACTCTCTTCAAAGCTGTCAGACAGGGACATTTAAGACTTCAGAAGTTTCTCCTGCCTTTTGTTCACCTGTGCCTTGCTCCCAGAAGTGGAGTCTACAGAGGCAGGCAGGCCTCATTGAGCTGCAGTGGGCTCCACCCCGTTTGAGCTTCCGAGCCTCTTTGTTTACCTAGTCAAGCCTCAGCAATGGTGGCTGCCCATCCCCCAGCCTCACTGCCACCTCCCAGTTTGATCTAGGACTGCTGTGCTAGCAGTGAGCAAGGCTCTGTGGGCATGGGACCCACTGAGCCAGACACAAGATATAATCTCCTGGTGTGCCGTTGGCTAAGACCATGTAAAAGCGCAGTATTAGGGCAATAGTGTCCCAATTTTCCAGGTACTGTCTCTCATGGCTTCCCTTGGCTAGGAAAGGGAATTCCCTGACCCCTTGCACTTCCCTGGTGAGGCAATGCCCCGCCCTGCTTCAGCTCACACTCTATGGGCTGCACCCACTGTCTAACCAGTCCCAGTGAGATGAACTTGGTGCCTTAGTTGGAAATGCAGAAATCACCTGTCTTCTGCGTCACTCACACTGGGAGCTGTAGACTGGAGTTGTTCCTATTCGGCCATCTTGGAAGGATCTCCTCTCATTGCTTCTTAAAGTGAGTTATCCATTTGTGAAGGTCCGATTTACTTGGCCACAAATATTTCCTAATGCATCAGTGATGTCACCATCTCTCCACCCAAGCTTCACCATAAACTTGATATTTGTTCTTCCTAAAATTTTAGTGGAATTTTTGTTGCTCTGATAGAAGCTGTTTTCAAACTGCTTTCTCAATCATGTTAGTAACTGAACTAGATCTTGTTCAGACATGTAACAAGTTAGTACAAATGTACTTTTGTACAAAAAATGTTTATATCAATGCAAACTTTTAAAAAATAATATGTATTTTCCAAAAACAGTTTGGATACCCCTTATATTATTGGAAGGCCTCCTCATACAATGAAGTTTGTTGCAGATTTCTCTGCCATCGGCTGGTGATCAGGCAGATTGTTGTTTTCCTCCCCCACTCCTCTAGAATATTAGGGATGTTTGCTAAAGAGGAAATATATTACCAGTTAGAAATTCTTCTTTGGCTATCCAATAATAAAACAGTTGCAGTTTGACTTTATGTGCTTTATGGGGGACATAGAGTATTTGCTTGGCCTAGCAGGCATGCTAATGTTATTGGAATGATGGTCATTGGTTTCTACACACTCCATTTGGACAGAGAAACTGGAGATAAATGGTCCTGCCTAGTGACTTACAGTAGACCTTCAAGTAGGAAAGGATGATCAGAGGGAAGGAGCAGACGGGAGTGCTTTGCAGCCTTCCCTCATTGCATAGGTTGCTGTAGAAGTGGTAGTCCTGGTGAAAGAAAGAGACTCTGCCTTGGCTTGGTGAGTACAGGAAGACAGGAGGCATTGCCTTCAAATATCACTCAGCTCAGGCCCTTTCTCTGACATTTTCCTAGGTCAGCAATGAGTGAAAGAGATTAGTGTATTAGGGAAGAATAAATATCAGCTATGAACTCTTCACATACAAATAAACGGAGGTGACAGAAGAGCCGAAAGAGACTCTATCAGTGAGTGAGGGTGGGTCAAAGAAAGGAGCAGGTCTGCAGCAAGAGCTCAGGCATGTTTCAGTCAGCTGAAGCTCTCAACAATCCACTTGCCTTCTAGTATGGATGCAAACATATATTGTCTCAAACAAGAGTCTTGATTTCTGCGTCTTAAAACTGCTCTCCCCTGACATAATTTGTTATGTCTCTCCTGAAAAAATACCACACATTGTGTAATTTAACAACAGAAATTGATTTTCTCACAGTTCTGGGGACTCACAGCCCATGATCAAGGTGTTAACAGGTTCAGTTCTTCTAAGATGTCTCTTCTTCCCTTTGACTTGGCTATTTTTTTGTTTTGTCTTCACACATGGGTTTCTCTGTACACATGCACCCCTGGTGTCCCTCCATGTGACCAAAAGTTCCTTTCTTATAACAACAGGAGTCTGATTAGATTGGGACCATCTTAATAGCCTAATTTTCATTTAGGTACCTCTATAAAAAGAAATTCTTTCCAAACACAATCATATTCTGAGGTACAGGGATAGGATTTCAACATACAAATTTGGGTAAAAACAATGCAGCCCATGATACCTCCTAATCTTTACTAAAACAATGACATTTTTTACAGAGTTCTCAAGAACACAGGAGTCACTTTTTACTTTTCACTCCACACCAAGCACTGCATATAAGCAAATACAGTGGGCTCCACTATAAAACACATCCCAAGATGACCCTTTCCATAATCTCTAATATAAGGCTCTAGTGGGGGCATGACCCTCTCTCCTGGAGGACTAGAACAGCCCCTAGCTGCCCTTGTAACCTTCCTGCTCCCACCACATTCCATATCACTTCTCCTCACAATAGCCAGTGTGATCTTTTAATAATAAATATTAAATATTACCTTCTTCCTTCATATCCTCTAAGTTTTCCTGATTTTCCTTTTAGTAAGATCTTGTAAAGTTCACACCTAAGTTTCTTCGTACTCACGTGTCATTCTCAAAGACTGGGAAGCTCTATGCATGGAACTGAAAGAAGAATTTTCTTCAACTTTACAATGCGCTGGTTTGTCTAGAACAACTAAAGAGTGGTTTGCCCAGAAGTTGAACATGGACAGAGTTGTGCTGATAGTGAGTGAATTGCATTTAGTCCCTGTGGTCTGAGGGGAGTTCCTCTGTGTGCCCATTTAATCAACTAAGCATTATGATGATACAGTTAACAATTCAACACAATTGTCTCTGAGAAGTGTACTTTGCTTAGGTTTTTCTAAAAATTCTGGCTACCCTATTATGATAGTGGTTCTCATATGCTGACTTACAGTAGAGTCTTCATAAACATAACTTTCACAATTATATTAGCACATTCATATTCTACAAGCCTATTGTAACATGATAGACTATAATAGGAAATATTTACCAAGCATTGACTATGTGCCATATAATCTTCAGAACCATCTTTTCAGGTAGTAATAATTTTTATTACAAGCTTCATTTTATAGATGAGATGATGGAAGCACATGCCAAGATAGTTATAAAGTTAGTAAGTGGTGTAGATGGCGGTAGTCTCCAGAGCCTCAGTTCTTGCCTCCTTTGCTCCACTGCTCTTTGCATTTATGAACATATTTGTTTATTTTCAAGAAAGTGAGAAGAAATTAGATCCAGACAAGAAACTCAGGTACTGGTTTTAGGACCTGCTTGAAGTAAAGCTTTTCTTAAGACATGACCAGGTGAAGTGAAAAAAAAAACAAACAAAACTATTTTCTTAAAGTTGTTTCTAAATCATAAGCACATTACACAGGCTTCTACATTCCCCTTTTCTTCATCTTTGTGTATTTAGTCATGCACATGATTAATTTCTTCTTCTTCTTTTTTTTTTTTTTTTTTCTGAAGTCTCCCTCTGTCACCCAGGCTGCAGTGCAGTGGCACAGTCTCTGTTCCCTGCAACTTCTGCCACCTGGTTTCAAGCGATTCTCTTGCCTCAGCCTCCTAAGTAGCTTGGATTACAGGCACCTGTCACTAGGCCTGGCTCATTTTTTTAGTTTTAGCAGAGACAGGTTTCACCATCTTGGCCTAGCTGATCTTGAACTCCTGACCTCGTGATACACCCGCCTTAGCCTCCCAAAGTGCTGGGATTACAGGCATGAGCCACCACCCCCAGCCACTTTCTTCTTTTTTATAAATGAAAAAATCACTGGCAATCAGGATCATGAAGTGCTTTTTATGCATGCTTACACACACTTTTCTCAGGAGACATTGGCTAAACTGTGGATACCATTTAAAGTGACCAACATTTTTATTCATATCTCACAAGAAATCCAAACAAAAAGAATTCCTCACCCTGTATATGCCAGGAAAAAAACAAAAAATCAATGTACCGAGTCACCTGGAAAAATCAAATTTATGTGTAGCAAATTTTATTGTATTAGAAAGCCTTTCTGTAATGCATTGGGACTGTAAAATGTTCATGGAAAAAGTATGTTATATTTAAAAAAGAATAGATTCCAATTTTTGCACCAAAATAAACTCATATTGACATGCTCTAACATGTCTGAACAGGAGCTACTTGAGTCATCAAGAAAAATAAGAGCAAGTTCAAAAGTTCCCCTATGAGAGCATCATGAATTCTTCTAAAATTAAAAAGAGTATAAACGTGAACTTCATGGTGAAGCTTGGGTACAAGAAGGTGAAATCAATGATGCTTTCTGAAACACTGGTAGGGATAATGGCCCTAAAAATTGGCAGTTCACAAGTAGGTAACTCATTTCAAGAAGGGATAAGACAAGGTTGAACCTAAAGCCCATAGACACAGAGGATTCATATCAAATTGCATGGATAAAATTGGTACAAGATGAATTTTTGTACCAATAATTCTCGGTACAAACAAGAGCCAACACTACAAAATTCTCAATTGGTTCCCCTTACCTGATTCGAATTGAGTAATTAATGTTGAGTAAATTTTTCACTCAATGGATGCCAAAACTATAGCAAAAATATAAGCTACAGACAGGAGCAGACCTTTCCATGAAATTTTAAATAAGGGGGATGAAGATCTTGAAGCATTTCTTCAAGGAATTCTAACAGGAGATGCAACCTGTCTTTACCAGTACAATCCTGAAAACAAATACGTCAAAGCAATAGCTATCAAGAGGTGGAAAGTCCAGTCAAGGCAAAAGTGGATAAGAAAAGTGCAAAGGTCATGTCATGGCAAGAGTTTATTGGGAAGCACGAGGCATTTTGCTGGTTGACTTTCTGGAGGGCAAAAGAATGACAATATCTGCTTATTCTGAGAATAGGGTCAGAAAGCCCAAGCTTTAGTAGAGAAATGCCTGGGGAAGCTTCAGCAGAGTCCTTCACCACAACAGTGCTCCTGCTCATTTCTCTCATCAAACAGGGCCATTGTGTGAGAGCTCTGATGGAAAATCATTAATGATTCACATTACAATCCTAATTTGGTTCCCTTGGTTTTCTTTTCATTTCATGATGTCATAATGTCTGTAAAGGGCATCCAGTATTCTTCAGTTAATAATGTAAAAAAGACATACAAATACCGGCCATGCTGACAAAAACGTATGAAGATTGGTCAATAAATATTCTCAATATTCTCCCTTTATGTTGCTCATTAATGATTGGGATTGGGAAATGGTTGAAACCTGAGTATCAGGTGTTAGAATTAAAACACACTTCACAAATGAGACTTTAATTTTGACTCTCTTCCACAGATAACAAGAGATAGAAAGATCAAAGATCCCCCAAAGCTGTTACAGTTCATTGGGGAAATGTATAATTCTGATGTTTATTCAGCTGAGCCTTGAGCAGTGTCTGCACTACTTGAATTTGAAAGCAAATGTGTCTTGCTTACTTGCATGAAGACACTTAGTCCATATCTCCTTTATTACTTCTTTTCCCCTACTCCGATCTCAATTCTGTTAAGCATTCAGGCTGGGCCTGAGATCTCACTGACCCAAGGAGGACCAAAGGTCCTATACACTCATCCCAACATATTGCAAGATATCAAGTAGGGTAAGGACTCAAATTGCTTATAACTGCTCAAACCACCACTGTACTTGGTTCTTTGAGAGTGGGGAAGGCATACCGAGAGCCACAGGATGTAGCCACAGGAGCATGTGAGAAGAAAGAAAGGAAGAGAAACCAAATCTGTGTCCTCTCTAGACACTGGGAGATGCACTTTAAAGAACGGTGAATCTGGGAAAAAGCTAAGGAAGAAAAGCCTTTTTGGTAGCTCTAGTCATTCTTTTTTTTCTTTTTCTTTTTAAATACTGGGACTTGCTCTATAGCTTAAGCTAGAGTGCAGTGGCACAATCCTGGCTCACTGCAGCCTCAATCTCCTGGGCTCAAGTAATCCTTCCATCTAACCATCCTAAGTCGCTAGGACTACAGGCACACCCACTGAGATACGATAAATTGGTAATTTTTTGTAAAGACAGAGGGTCTTACTATGTTGCCCAAGCTGATCTGGGATTCTTGGCATCAAGAAGTTCTCACACCTCAGCCTTCAAAAGTAGTGGAATTAGAGGCATGAGCCACCATGCCAGGCTAGTAGATATTCTTTTTACCTAAGCCTCATTGTCCTGCACTCCGTCAATCCCCAATCAGAAGACAGCAGAGCCACCTGACTACTGTGATAGCTTCTAATAAGCAGATGTCAACCTCTGGTGTTCCTGTAGGAAGAAAAGAAAAAAGAAGTACCTGACCAACTGATGTGGTTTGAGTCAACAGTACACAAAAGAAAAAAGACAGAAAGACTTTGTAAATTGGGCTCTTGGGACACATTCGCACAGTTTTTTGTAGTTTTTACATTTGAATGTATGGTATGATATTAAATATTTATAACATTACCTCATTAGAGACAGAGAGAAACCTCCAGGCACAAGCTCCAAGTAGAAAAATGTTAGTGGGACAAACCCTTCTGGCATTTGAACCACCCAGTGGATTACAATGTAGCACTAGTGTCTCTTCCCTCCAATGTCCAAAGCTTGCCTTTTTGAAACTTTTCTGTATTGCAAACAGAGGAAATGCATATGTGCAAGACAAAATAGAAAATCACCCAATATACTTTAAAAAACCAGAAACAATTGAACAATTATTAAGGAATGAAACAATCAAGAGACAACAACTTCGAAGCAAATTGGATATTGAAATGATGAGACTTTAAAGCAGCTGTTATAGCCATCCTTTAAGAGGTCAATGTGTACACTCTCAAAATAAAAGAAAAAACTTCTCAGCAGAGAAAAATAAAGCATATAAGATAAAATAGAAATTTTAGAACTGTGATATATAATGTATAAATTTTTTAAAATTCATTATGTGTGATCAACAGCAGAAAGAAAATGATGGAGGACATAGCGTTCTTGAGTTTGCATTAATAGGAATTATATACTCTGAACAACACAGGATTAAATAGTCAAAAAAAATTTTGTTTGTGTCACAAATAAGAAAGGCTGTAACAAATGATGTGATAATCATGCAGTCTGAGTTTCAGAAAAAGAGAAAAACGAGGATGGTATTGAAAAAGGACTCAAAGAGAAAGGCTGAACCCCCCAAACTTGCAATGGGCATAAACCTGCAGATGCAAGAAATTGAGCAAATCCCAACCAAAATATATCCAAGGAAATCTATGCCCAGCAACATTGTAGTCAAATTTCTGAAAATTAAAACAAAGAAAATGTTTTAAAGGCAGATAGAAAGAAATAATACCATGCGTATAGGAAAAACACAATGTGAATATCTGTGGCGTTACTACCAGAAAGCAGAAAACAACAGAAGAATGTAGCTCAAATATTTGAAGTGCTGAAAGAAAAAAATTGCCAACCAGAGGTTTATGTCCAATAAAACTATCCTTCAATAAGGAGAAAGAAATCCAGTCATTCTCAGAAGAATGAAAAGAAAAATCCTAACAGAATTTGTTTCCAACAAACCAATTTTTTTAAAATGGCTCAAGCAAGTACTCTAAACAGAAAAAAAGTATAGAAGAGGAATTTCTGGAACAGCAAGAATGAAGCAAAAAAAGAAAAGAAAAAAAGCAACAGAAAATGGGGAAAAAGTAAGTAAACACAAAACATTTTCCTTTTTTTCTCAAATTTTCTGCAGGAGTTTCAAATTGCTCAACTGGCTATTGCTAATATTAAGGAGGAAAGAGATCTAGGGAATGAGGCAAAAAATAACATTCTTCTCTGGTGCCCCTAGAAATAAACTCAGCCTTGACACATGGATTTAACCAAGTGAGACCCGATTCAGAATCCTGAGCTACAAAACTGAAAGACAATAATGTCATGTTGAAGCAAAAATTATAAAACGTACTGTTTTTGCTAAATGCACGTAGAGATATATTTAAGATGATTATATTACAAACAGAGGTCGGTAAATAACAGGGATATAAAGTTTTCATATTTCGCCCCCGGAGGGTAAAAAGAGCACACCACTAGACTGTGACAAACTATGTATGTGTAATGTAATACCCAGAGCAACCACTAAAAATGCTGTATACAGAATGACACTCAAAAACATTGCAGATCAACGTAAATGGAATCAAAAAACCTTTTCAAGGAATCCACAGAAGATAGAAAGAAAGAAAACAATCAAAATGAGTATAAATATAAAGTAAACAAAATGGCTGTAAATTATTAACAATTACATGAAATGAAAATGGTTATTGAAAGTAAATTTCTGCCATTTCAGTTTGTGACTTACACTATTGTATATATATATACTTCAAGTACAAATATTAGCATTACAACTAATTTTACATAAACTCATTCATATTCTCATGCGAACATCTGGAAGATGCCTGGGCAATTCTCTCCACCTGCCCTGAATCAAACCAGTTCCAGGGGAGAAAGATGTCCGTCCCATCTGTGCTATGAAGATTAATGGCCTCCCAGAGACACACCCTTCCTAGTTCCCAGAATCAGTGTATATGTTAACTTACATGACAAAGGGGTACTAAGTTTGCTAATCAATTGACCTGAATATAGAGAGACTTTATGGGATCATCCAAGTACAAGCAATGTAATCACAACATACTTAAATGTTGAATGGGGAGGCAGAAGAGTCAGTGCCAGGGTGATGTGATGTGACGTGACGTGACGTGACGTGACGTGACGTGACGTGACGTGGCGTGATGTGTCATGATGTGATGTGATGTGATGGGAGGCTTATCTGGCTACTGCTGGCATTGAAGATGGAAGAGGGCCAAGGAATGTGGGCAAGTAAATGGGTTCTGCCCTGGAGACTCCAGCATGAAACAGCCTTTCCACATGGATTTAAGCCAGTGAGACCCATTTCTGACTTCTGAGCTACAAATCCACTCACTTTGCGGTAATGTATTATTTATTGCAGCAATAGGAAAGCTAATATACTTTCCAAACATTCATTTCATACTTTTTTGTGGCTGCTCTAATGTGTTTGTGCCACTTTATAAAATATTAGAGAGGAATGAAATTATCATGGCTATTAACACAGGGCAATTAAGCAACATCTTTCCTCATAAAGTAAAAACCACTCTCAAAATTTCATTCCAATGAATAATTGTTGAGCCCATATTCAATGGAGAACAGCTAATAATTGTCCTTCCCTCATCCTTAAACAATTTCCTCCCCTCAGCCAGGATCTATGCCTCCTTTGGAAATATCCTATGCTTCTCTAGATTTCTAAAATTATTCCATCTTCTGTAATTTAGTGGTGAACTTGTGCTATAGCTCAGAACCTTCTTAGAAAATAGGAGATACCAGGTGGACACTCATGGCTAATAAAAAAATATTGCTTCATTTTCTAAGTTAACAACTTAACAACAACAACAGGGAGAAAAGAGATTGCCTTTAACTTCCATGTTAGATTTTATAGCTGACTGCATCTCAGAATATTGTCATAATAAGCAGTTATTGTCATTCTTTGGCCCTCCAGAAAGTCAACAAGCAAAACACCGAGAGATTTAAAAATAAATTTTGCCCTGACGTTTGCCCTTTGCCCATCCACTCTTGCTTTAACTTCCACCTCTCCGTAGCCATTACTTTGATTGTGTTTGGTTGCAGATTGTACAGATCAAGCCATGTTTCAATTCCTGTTACAATTCTTTGAACAAATTCTTCAGGATCTTGATACCATTTTTTTGAATTTTCAAGAAACTTCAGTTCTTGTTTGTAGCTGATCTTGGTGCAAGAGTTTTGACATCCATCGGGTGGAAATGTATCCTCTACTTTCATTATCCAGTTAGAATCATGTCAGCTGAACCAATGGAGAAGTCTGCAGTGTTGGCTATTGTTTGTACTGTTAATCACTAATCCTCTTATATTATGGTATCAACAAGATGAATTTTTTCTTCGCAAATTAATATGAGTGGTCAGCCGCTGTAGGCTTTATGTTCAAAATCATATCATCCCTGCTTAAAGTGAGTTATCTATCTGTGAGCTTCTGATTTTCTTGGCCATTGGCCTCTTAAACTTTTTGAAAAGCATCAATTATTTCACCATTCTTCTACCCAGGCTTCACCATAAATTAGATGTTTGCAGTCACTATAGTTTGATCAGAGTACATGTTGCTGTCATAGAGGCTCTTTTCAAAATACTGTCTTAGACTTCTTGATGCTGCGAGGTAGATCCTGTTCACACATGTTGTGACAATACCATCTGAGTTCATTTTGGTTCGAAAAATTTTGGAATCCATGCAGAGCTTTTTAAATGCAATATGCATTTTTCATGATCTTTTTAGGACCCAATGTATTACAGAAAGATTTCCTAATACAATAAAGTTCGCTATAGATATCTTTGTGATTTCCAGGTGACTAGGCAGAACAAAAGCATCTATAACGTGTGCATAAGAAAAATTTGGAGGTGGGGGGATGGGGAAATAATCACATACATACGTTTCAAGAACTTTTCCAATAAAAATGGCAGACAAATAATATGATAGGAAAGAAGCACTAACAGTCTTAGGAAGACTTCTATAGAAATGGGTGATGTTTCAGCAGGCTTTTGCTGATTGAAATAATCCCATAGAGCATAGATGTAAGAATCAGGAGACAAACGGGTCACATGCAGAGGCAAAATCCCTGACCACGCAATGTGGTTCAGAATAAAGTGGGAAGTTAAGATATAGGGGTAGGAAGGCTTCACCTATGATAATAGGAGGGAAGCCAGAGACCTGGGTTTCAACTGAACATGGGTTGCTCAACTTAGTGGTGGTTATGGTGAGATCATTCTGTTCTGATTTTTCTGACTTCTTACTGAATTATCTGAGACTATCAGTGGGCAGAGAGGCAGTTTCTAATATTGAACCTTCCTTGCTTGAGAAGCAGACATGCCAGTCTCTGCAAGGTTTTTGGTATGTATGTTATCTCATTAGTCTCCATACTCTAAGGTAGTTGTTATGATTATGCTCATTTTAGATGAGGAAATTGAAGCCCTGAGAAGCCAAGTAGCCTTTTAAGAATCCAGAGATATTAAGAAAAAGAATTAGGTCTTAATTAAAACCTGAGAGTGTCCAAATTCTTTGCTCCTTAAAATCGTGCTGCCTCCTTCATGAAATCCATTCAAGTTCCATTAAAGAATGGTGAGTAACACAGGAAGGGAGAGAAGTGATCACTGTTAAAATAGGGTCAATGAGATAGACAGGGTTCTGGGGATAAGAAGCATAGAGCCATATTCATTCCCTTGAAACCAAACTCAGTTTCTTAGAAATTATAAGGATTTCATTCAGCTTCTGTGACTTTGTTGCATTTGTTGTGTTTTTTGTCCTTAAGATCACTGGAATATCAGTAAACAATCTGAAAATAATTTTAAAATTTCAATTTATGCTATAGAAGTCAGGGAAGGGCCAGGCATGGTGGCTCACACCTATAAACCCAGCAATTTCAGAGGCCGAGGCAAGCAGACCACCAGAGGTCAGGGGATGGAGACCAGCCTGGCCAACATGGGGAAACCTCATTTCTACTAAAAATACAAAAATTAGCCAAGCATGATGGTGGGCACCTATGATCTCAGATACTTGGAAGGCTGAGGCAGGAGAATAGCTTGAACCCAGGAGATGCAGGGGGCAGTGAGCCGAGATCCTGCCACTGCACTCCAGCCTGGGTGATAGACCAAGACTCCATCTTGGGTGGGGGGGGAAATAGAAGTCAGGGAAGTAGAGAAACAGTAAAATATTTTTTCATGGCACCTGGGTAAATTAGGATTAAGGAGGAGAGAAGTTTCCTGGAGCATCAAGGAGGAGGGTTCCTACATGTTCTTATACAGTCTTCTTGGTCCTCAGATCCCACATTCACAAATATTGAGAAACAGACACCACAATCAGAAATTGCAAGCTGATTATTTTATTGGTATATTGAAGTTAGAGCTATGATGACCTTTTTCCAATGTCATGGAATTTGAATCATTTGAATCACTCTCATCTTCTTATTCACTTCCTGAAACAAACAAAGAAGGAAGTTCATAGACCAGACTTGACATGGCAGGAAATGTCGAATTCCTCACTGGTCTTACTGCACTACAGTACATGAGAGCCCATCCTCTCTCCCCCATCCCTTCTACCTCCTGTGTTTCCTCCCTAATTTTTTGTGTGTTCACTCTTTGGATGCCCTTGCACAAAATGTGCTCCAAATTGTTCCTTACGTGATGAAGACAGAAGATCATTCTTAGCTTATTATTACTTGCTGCTGAATTTGTTCACAGATATATTTACACAGATGGGAACTGGAACATATTTTATAACAGTGAGAAGCTGAAACCACCCTCAGTGTCCAGTGACACAGATTGGTTAAAGAAATCACGGTGCAGCCACATAATGGAGTAGTATAAAATGGTAAAAACAAACAGATAACCACTGAAGAGATCTACTTAGCTTCATAGACGTATGTGGAAATTTTCAAAGAAATGTATTTTTTAAATGACTAACATATGTACCTGAATATAAATTATGGTATTAGTTCTGGGGGAAAAATATTCTAGTAGTCTATGTACACATAAATATTTCAAACAGAAGATGCCATAAAGTTAACAGTGGCAGTTTTCTGAAGGAGGGGAGGCAGGTAGGATGAGTCATGCCTTTAAATTTAGATTCATATTTTTCCATTGCATTAGATATTTTTTGTTAGCTTAATCATGTACTTATTGAACAGTAAGAATTTGAAAAATGAGACACCATTTAGCTGCTGAAAGTTCAGGGACCACTTGGCAGGAATACTGGACTCAAGAGGCTGGTGTGAGGCAGGACTGAGCAAACAGTGCTCAGGTGAAAACTTTAAATGGGAGGTCTCTCAGTTTGTGCACAGAAAACAGAGCGCCAGAGAGAACATGGTACTACTTCCTTGTTGCCAACACAACTTAAGACAGATTATTTGGAATTTTGTTTCTCAACATCAGAATTCCTTAAAGAGTTTGTTACAAATATAGGATCTTGTTACCCATTTCCAGAATATGTCAATACAAATCTTTAGAAATGGGATCTGGGACTATACAATGCCAATGGGCTTTTAGCTGATTCATTGGCACAATAAAGCTGGAGAGCTGTAGCAATTAGAGCACTTGGTGAAGAATAAACTGGAATCATACCTGTCATTGAATCCTAGATGACTGGGGAGGCTGTCACTGGGGAGGTCTGGAAGGTCTGCCCCCTTGAGGAGGGCGTGGTGGTCCCTGGGGCTGTCCAGCAGGAGGTGCCTGAGGCTGCTGGGGATTGCCTCCTGCTGGAGGTGGGGGACCTTGAGGATTGTTGCCTTCTTGTTGGGGTGGTCCTTGTGGCTTTCCTGGAGGAGATCGGGCACTTCGGGACTTGCTGCCTCCTTGTGGGGGTGGTCCTTGTGGCTTTCCTGGAGGTGGGGGACCTTGAGGTTTGTTGCCTCCTTGTGGGGGTGGTCCTTGTGGCTTTCCTGGAGGAGGTGGGGGACCTTGAGGCTGGTTGCCTCCTTGTGGGGGTGGTCCTTGTGGCTTTCCTGGAGGAGATCGAGAACTTCGGGACTTGCTGCCTCCTTGTGGGGGTGGTCCTTGTGGCTTTCCTGGAGGTGGGGGACCTTGAGGTTTGTTGCCTCCTTGTGGGGGTGGTCCTTGTGGCTTTCCTGGAGGAGGTGGGGGACCTTGGGGCTGGTTGCCTCCTTGTGGGGGTGGTCCTTGTGGCTTTCCTGGAGGAGATCGGGCACTTCGGGACTTGTTGTCTCCTTGTGGGGGTGGTCCTTGTGGCTTTCCTGGAGGTGGGGGACCTTGAGGTTTGTTGCCTCCTTGTGGGGGTGGTCCTTGTGGCTTTCCTGGAGGAGGTGGGGGACCTTGGGGCTGGTTGCCTCCTTGTGGGGGTGGTCCTTGTGGCTTTCCTGGAGGAGATCGAGAACTTCGGGACTTGTTGTCTCCTTGTGGGGGTGGTCCTTGTGGCTTTCCTGGAGGTGGGGGACCTTGAGGTTTGTTGCCTCCTTGTGGGGGTGGTCCTTGTGGCTTTCCTGGAGGAGGTGGAGGACCTTGAGGCTGGTTGCCTCCTTGTGGGGGTGGTCCTTGTGGCTTTCCTGGAGGAGATCGGGGACTTCGGGACTTGTCTCCTTGTGGGGGTGGTCCTTGTGGCTTTCCTGGAGGTGGGGGACCTTGAGGTTTGTTGCCTCCTTGTGGGGGTGGTCCTTGTGGCTTTCCTGGAGGAGGTGGGGGACCTTGAGGCTGGTTGCCTCCTTGTGGGGGTGGTCCTTGTGGCTTTCCTGGAGGAGATCGGGCACTTCGGGACTTGTTGTCTCCTTGTGGGGGTGGTCCTTGTGGCTTTCCTGGAGGTGGGGGACCTTGAGGTTTGTTGCCTCCTTGTGGGGGTGGTCCTTGTGGCTTTCCTGGAGGAGGTGGGGGACCTTGGGGCTGGTTGCCTCCTTGTGGGGGTGGTCCTTGTGGCTTTCCTGGAGGAGATCGAGAACTTCGGGACTTGTTGTCTCCTTGTGGGGGTGGTCCTTGTGGCTTTCCTGGAGGTGGGGGACCTTGAGGTTTGTTGCCTCCTTGTGGGGGTGGTCCTTGTGGCTTTCCTGGAGGAGGTGGAGGACCTTGAGGCTGGTTGCCTCCTTGTGGGGGTGGTCCTTGTGGCTTTCCTGGAGGAGATCGGGGACTTCGGGACTTGTCTCCTTGTGGGGGTGGTCCTTGTGGCTTTCCTGGAGGTGGGGGACCTTGAGGTTTGTTGCCTCCTTGTGGGGGTGGTCCTTGTGGCTTTCCTGGAGGAGGTGGGGGACCTTGAGGCTGGTTGCCTCCTTGTGGGGGTGGTCCTTGTGGCTTTCCTGGAGGAGATGGGGGACCTTGAGGTTTGTTGCCTCCTTGTGGGGGTGCTCCTTGTGGATTTCCTGGAGAACAAAGAGAGAAGAGAAAGACAGAGTAAAAGCCCATACAAGATTCCCTGAATAGTTGCAGTAAATTTTCATGAGTTTGGGTAACAAGCTGAGTGGGGAAACACACAAAAATGAGACCAAGACATTAATTTCTTTGCATTTCAGTGAAGACATAGAACTCTGGAGTGGAGCGCCAGGGAAGAACAAAGCAGTTGAGGGCCTCTCATTATAAAGAGGAGACAGAATGAGGATGCTGCCCATTTGTCTGTCATCTCCCAGCAGGCACTCCTGGCCAGGGGGATGAGGTAACCCACTCCTGCTGTCATCTAAGCCAAGCATCTCTGCCGTTCAATTTGGTGGCCTGCTCATGATGCCCAGAATCAAGGTTGCATGAAGAGTGCCTATATTATTAGGAGCACTAACATTAATCAATTCCCGAAAGGAAAGTTTTGATAAGAAGACACTGGAGAACTGATCCATTCATAAGCAGAAAAAGACAGTCAGAACAGATTGAGAATGAATCGGGATTTACCTGCTATTAGGGAGGGAGATTCTTCCTGGCTGACATCTAGAAGAGAAGCACAGGATGATGGGAAAAGTTACATCTTGAACCTTACAAGACTCACAAGTGTTCTGCAGGGAAAACAGACTTCTCACCACACCCCATGCATCCCCTAAGTTAACTCATCAGCCACCATCTGTGAAGCTGCTGGAAGGGGAGGAAGGTGTAAGGGGAGGCAGGGTTGTTATGACAGAGCAACAGCCATGAACTCAACATAGAAGAGCCCCTTTTTTCCCTCCCTAGCATCCCTCAAGACTTAATGCTAATTTAGTTCACAAATGCCAGGTACTTCAATGTGATATTTTGGTGTTCTTATGCCCTCCATCTCCTATAAATACATTGCTTATGTACACATGCTTTCTCAATTGGGGTAACCAGAAGTAATCACTTCAATACAATCTTACCCATACCACTCCCAGCACATTGAAATACTGCGTGTAAGGGAGAGAAAAATGACAATGATTGGCTCTGATATTTCTGTATCTCTAGTTAAACAGAGACAAGTGTTCCATCCAATTCTCTGTCTCTGCAGTATCTCTGATACTGTGTGTGTCTATCGCCGTCATCGATGCTGATGCACTGTACAGCAAGGCCACCATCATCCCTGTGTACTTACTGAGATCAGTTTAGGATCTTCACAGCTGGACTTCCATGAATCTGCCTTGCATTCTCTACTGCATCCTTCACAGCACAGTTCTATCTATAAATGCAAATCTTACCTTCTCATTCCCCTGGAACAAATTCTTTATTGGATTTCATTGTACATTAAATAAATTAGAAACTCTTATTGTGGAATGAGGGCACAACAAGTCTCCTGATCCTAGGCATGAAAACTCTGCAGCCCCATCTGTGTTTTCATTCTCCTCTCTTCCCCGTAATTACCATTATCACCTCCTAAGCCCCAAGCAGAGTCACCACATCTTCTCCCCCTTCTGTTTTACCTTCATTTAAGTTCTGAGCTGAGCTCAGGGCCAGCAGGGCCACTGACAGCAGAATCAACAGCATCTTGCAGGAGGCTCTGGAGTCACTCCCAACTCTGTGCTGGGAGGAACGTGGCAACTCCCTTTATAAAGAGGAGAAGAACAATGGCACCTTTGAGCTCCACACTGGGTGGGCCTCACCACCTCAGAGACTGGCTTCTGCTTTGCTCACTGCAGGTCAGGTGTATCCCTTATTTTTCTTTGAGACTCTAGCCCAGAGAGATGAGTTGGATAGGATATGTTGTTAGTGTCTTATTTCCAAAAGGTACAACTATGACTTGAACAATGGTTTTGAAGGAACTGTGTCCAAGCCATCAGCACTGTGTCATCACTGAACTTTAGATATCATTAGAGTTTCAATCTTTTAGGTAAGACTATCATCCACTTTCCACTGTGCTATTTATTTCTGTTTATGTCTGTGTGAGCAGCGATGCTACAACCAGCAGTGAAGATGGTCAATATCTCTGGATATTATTATGCCCTATTTCCATCTCTTGTGATGTGTGTGTACAGATATTTTCATATTTAGCTCAATTTTTGATGTGATAGAGATGGTTTCTGCTATCTATGAGATGTGTGAGGACAGCACACTTCTGTGCACACATAGATGACAGAAAGCTGCCCCGCAGCCTGCTCAGGATAGGGCTATTGTTCAAGTTTCTGTGGATCTCACTCAGCTGAGGCAAGGCTTGGTCCTGTACAACACAGGAAGTCTAAAATTTTGTATTCTAAAGTAATTTTAGAGGTTATTAACGCAAAATGGACACAGAAACCACCAGGAAATTTCTAGACCTGAGAAAACTGAATACATAGTTCTGTGAGGGAGCCATGCGATGTCATGTTGCTAAAATTTCCTTCATGCTCTTCCCTTTCTCTAGAATATTCTATAAAATTCACCCACTGCTTCATTTCTTTTAGGAATTATATCGAATTCTTACCACTGATAATTAAGTGGCCACAATTCTACATTCAAATAAGATAATCAGATACCACCATCAAACCCTCAATTGCATTCTATTGGTTTTATTGGTTTAGTCAGTATTTGTGTTACCTGTTTTCTCAGATTCTTCTTCCACGAGTATTTTTCTACAATATTCTGATATGCATTCCTCCCCACGTTCTTTCTAGTACTTCTTTTACATATTTTATTTTCTGAGTCAAGCTCATTATGTGTATCTTTTATTATGTAGCTGGCTTTTCCCCATGAATTTGGTGAGATTTCCTTTATTTAATCTTTTAAGTAATAGGATATATACTCCTCACCATCTTTTTTCATTCCTGTCTGTGTAATTTCACAATAAATGTTGTGTTTCCAAAAAGCCCTCTCAGAGTCCTGCATTGTTAGCACTTCTTTTAGCTGCTGGTTCTTCTCTTATATCTGGTAAATCCCTGCTCATCAGTTCATGGAATATACAGGTTAGTCAGTATCAACAGCTGCCATTTACCACTTAGACCTTCTGTGTGTCTTGTGTAATTGTTCACATTTTGTGCATGGCTGGTGTTAATTTGAGAACAGATTGGTTGGAGGTATGATGGGGGTAGAGAGGGTATGTGACAGTAAATCCTAAAGACAGGCCTCTTGACCGTTGTGGATGAGTGGATCCTGTGCTGTGCACATGAGGGTCTGGTCTGGCCCTTCTGAAGAGTTGCGGATATTAGTACAGGGAGACTTCCTAATACAAAAGGCTTTGCTATGCATAACTTTGCCCTTGCAGGGGAACCAGGCAGATTGGTATTTTCCCTGGCATAAATATAGACATACTTCAAAGGGGAATACATTACTAATTGGCAGTTCTTTCTGGCTCTATGGAAAGTGGATTGGTTCTAGCTGAGCTTCATGAGTTTTATCTTAGGCAGAGAGTAGTTGCTTGGTCCCAGCAGATCCCAGTGCTTTGTTGAGATTTGTGTCTCTGGTCTCACAGACACTGTTTTCCATAGGAAATGGAAATGAACAATCCTGCCTAGCTGGCTTAAGCTAGACCATCAGGTAGCAAAGGAATGTCAGAGACAAGGAGCAACAAAGAGGCAAGGATGACATTGCCTGATTATGTCACCAACTGAGGTTGCTACAGCCTGATGCAAGACAGACTTCCCCTTGGCAGGAGAGTACAGGAAGAGAACAGAAATGCCCCTAAAGGTCACTCATTTCAGGCCCTTTCCCTGGTCTTCTCCAGTGTCAGCAATGAGTAAAGTTTTTCAGGAAAGCATAAATATAAGCTATGCACTCACCAGACAAAACAAAAAAGAGGTGATGGAAATGTGGAAAGGGATACCGTCTGTGACTGAATGTGGGTGGAAGAGAGAAGCAGGACTGCAGCAGGAGCTTGGGCACCTATATGTGAGTGGCAGCCCTCAGCACTCCACTTGCCTTCTAATATCCATGTTCATATTCTCAGGTCCAGAAGGAACAGTCTTCAACATATGAAATTTTAGGAACACAGTTCAGCTCTCATAACAGCTCCCAACCTTTTCTAAGTCAAGTGTTCAGTGGTTCAAAACTCCTCACTCCCTTCAGGCACTGCCCTTTAGCAAATCGAGTTGCTTCCACTTTCAACACTCATCCCAAATACAACAACTTGCATAATCTTTACTAGAAGGTGATAGTTCAGGCCATGATGCTCTCTCCTGAAGAAGTTTAATATCCTCAGCTGCTCTTGGTAACATTCCTACCCCAGCACATCCCATATCCATTCCCCTCACATCAGTCACAGTGATCATTGAAAAGTAGGAATTAGATCATAACACTTTTGTGCTTCAAATGCTCTTAGGATTTTCTTCTGCACTTGTAATAAGATCCAAACTTCATGCCTCAGCTCTCTCACACCCACACATCTCCCTCTTTTTGAAGACGCGGAAGCTCTGTGAATGGAACAGAAAGCCAAATCCTCCTCAACTTACTGTGTTCATTGGGTAAACCAACCATTCTGATAACACAGTTGTGTTTGAGAATTCAGCGTTGCTTTGACTTTTCTAAAAACTTTGGTTACACTAGTAGGATCTTCATCTTTACATTTTTATTTGATGTTGATGCTCTCTAATATATATATATTTCACAATTATTTGAGCATATTTATATTCTTTCCATTTATCCTAGCAAAGGCTGATTATAATAGAAAACATTTCTTCAGCATTTACTATATGATATTCAATGTTCAGAACCATCATATTAGGGAGGTGTGATGATTATTATTATCTTAATTTTGTAGATGAGGTAATTTAGGTGCGTGTCTAGGTTCATATAAAGGTAGTAAGTGGAATGGAAGGCAGTCAGTTCTCAGATCTGAGTTCTTGCCTACTGTGCTCCAGTGGTTACTTGCTCTTCATTCATTCATTTCTCTAAAAGAAAGTGAAAGGAAATGAGATTCAGAGAACAAAAACAAGTTTCTCTTAGAATATTGTCAAGGTTAAATTTTCCTGAGACGTTAACGGCTAATGTGACTAAAAATATATTTTCCTGAGTAAACATGTTTGTTTGAAATCATAATCCCATTTAAACATATTCTAGTCTTCCGCTTTACCGCTTGCATTTATATAAAGACACTCAGAGGAATTAATTCCTTTTTTTTTCTAATTACAAAACCCTGTCAATGTAGATCCTGTATGTCCTTCCTTAATCCATGCTACATGCATTTTTCTTGGGTGGCGTATTAGCATTGACAAAATTTGTGTATGCCCTTTTAAGTTGACTAAATTTGATCCTTCTAATCACAATGGATCTAAAATTCTAGAAATCCAAGAGGGAGCCTGGTCAGAGAGTTGTCTAAGAAAGGATAAACTATATACCACTTACATAACTTTCAGTCTTCTGCATGAAGATGTCACCTGTGTCCTGGCCCCAGAGCTGGTGTTCCACCCTCAGTGATTGGGGCCATAGAAGGCATTGGTCATCAGCCTAAGGTCAAGTGTCTGTAGCCTCATCACACCACTGTTATCACAATGTCAGAGTGTATTCTTCAGCTTTCAGTTAAACATCCTATCAGTTCATAGAGAAGTACAATCACAACTTATCTCATAAGAAATACAAAGCAATGTATGTCACCCTCATATTTTTCTGATCATGTACAAAGTCGGTAAGATGATAGGAATTTCATTAAAGTGATTAATCAATGACTCATTTATTAAACCCATAAACCTGTACCTATCTCTTTCAAAAGATGTTGTCTCCTCTGCTTAAGAACCACGAATTATTACTGTATTTCATTGATTTTGAAGTCCACATGTATGCATATTTATCATCTTGGAAATTGTTTTTAAAATATGATCACGACAGAATCATTCATCCAATGTTTTCTTCTTACAATGGTACCTTGATCTCCTCTCTTGAAGGGCTGAGGTCTGCTTTTACCTCCTTGGAGCTTGGGTAGAACTTCATTACTGCCATGACCAGTAGATTATATCAGAAGTGATACTTTGTGACTTTTGAGTCTGTATCATAGAAATGCCATGCAATTCCAAATTGTTCTTTATGGAACCTGACACATGCTGTGAGGATGTCCATGCTGTGAGACAGAGATAGAACATTCATTTTAAAAATGATTGGATCAAAACTGTCTCTAAACAATATTCAATAACCGAGTTTGTTTCAGTGACCCATTTGCTATCTATATCGTATATTATATTTCAACACATGCATGGCTACATAGCTAAAGATATATGGATCATTCCTTTCTATCTTGCATAGTGATGTTTCTGGTGCCTTAGCTCTTCTAGTACTTACAATAGCACTTTGAGGATTTTTTGCATTTATGTTCACTTTTCAAAGTTAGAAATAAAATCTTAATGTGATTGAGTGACTTTCCCTAACACATACACTTCATAGGGAACAGCATAAGAAAAAGAAATGAAGGAGACAGACAGAGAGAGAGACAGAGAGAGAGAAATGAGACAATGACCTTATTCATGAGAACAATGTAAAATACCTAGGATCAAGTAGCAAGAAATGCACAGGATTCAGTTGAAGAAGAATGATCAAACTTTGATGCAGAATATGCACTAAAATGTACATACA
Source organism: Homo sapiens (assembly GCF_000001405.40). Lineage (NCBI taxonomy): Eukaryota > Metazoa > Chordata > Mammalia > Primates > Hominidae > Homo > Homo sapiens. The sequence goes on along the minus strand of NT_187588.1, from coordinate 15,966 downwards.
TGTAAATTTCTGCACATGAAAATGCTATATTCAAATAGGACAAATTTTCCAGGTGTTCTGGCAAAAATTGCACAACAGTCCCCTCTTCATGTCTGATTTTGGCTTTGCTCAATCACAAACTCTGTTATTTTTCTATTTGTCATTCCAATTCCACAGTTTTGTTTACATTTGTTGTTTATTGTCATCTCTTCTTTCATTCTCCTCAATCTTGGGTATTAATTTCTGCTGTGCTTCTTTATTGTAATTTTGTTGGGACATTGGGAAAGGGCAGAAATCAGTCCATGTGTTCAATGCACTGTGCATTCCAATACCCTGAGTATAGAGATAAATTCCTTATCACAGTTTATAGCAGGTTCTACAGATGATCTTTTTGTTTATGACTCTTTCTATATAAGTGTATTCAAGTGACTTTACAAGGCAGACTGCTGTTACCTGTGTTCCTAATTTTATCAGAAGAATATGCCACTGTCTTTTCTTTCCTGGCTGCATTAAATGTAACATGACCATGACTTGATAATCACATGGTTATTTTTTACAACATTATTGAGTAAACATCTGGCAACAATCTTAAATATTGAATACATTTTTATACTCTAATATACTAACAAATATAATTTTTTAAAAACAAATGTACATTGTTTCAAGTCTATTACTTATCCATCTTTGGAATTGCCAAAGCAAATCTCTCCATATTATTAAAAAAAAAAAAAAAAACTTTTGTGCCTTCTAGTAAACAGACATAGAAACAGAATTTTATGATATGATACATAAAAGAGTTTGTATTTATCTTACATTTTTGCTAACCTTACTTTTTAGCTAAGCTTTTGTCTATATTTGAATTTTCTTGATGGAAACATGCCTTTGTACATTTTTATTGAGCAATTAAAGGCTTATTTAACTAGTCAACCTAACAACATTGACATACGGTTTTTGTCAGATTGGAATGATCTACAAAGCTTCTGAAGCTTGAACTTTGGGGTCCTTCATGTGCACAGGCCCTTCCCAAGATCCTGTTTAGAGTGAACAGAATACAGAGATTTAGAAGGTTCATGAACTAGCAGTGGTCTTCTTTATGCCGACTCCTTTACTCAAGCCTTTATGTATTTTTCTGTCTTCCACTGACCCATGGGGATCATAAGATTTCAAGACCTTCTCCTCCCTAAAACAAACTCCAATCATTTGAGGGATATCTGAATTTTTTTCTGAAAAGAAGACTTGGGAATACCTATAGAAGCAAATTTCTAAATAATCTGATTCTTATGTCTACAAATAATGGCTATCTTCCTGCACTGCTGTAAATGTACTGTGCCATTGCAGATTATACATGGAGGAATCTAAAGAGTGTACTGTAGTGGTGACTGAAGGGCCTATTGAAATGAGGTACAGCTATAGATTCTTGCTCTTCCACTAGTTTTTCCCTTGAAGAACATACTCCCTGCAGAATGGCACCTTCCCTTAGTATTTGTAGTGTTTCTACCTTTAAGCATGGAAGGAATGGTCAATGTTAGCAATGTTTTCTTTTCTTTACAATTTACGGCGGGGTAAGGACAATTCTCATGTTTGTCTATAAAAGCAAGGGCAGCTTCATGGCCCTAATCCATTTGGGCATTTCTGCTGGTGTCCTGGATCCATCTATCTCCACATCTGTGTATCCAGAGATGGTGCTGACTGTGGCAATTACCAATTCATGGAGGTTCTTTGATTTTTAATAGGAAGAGTGATTTCCCCAGAGGTTTTCTCTTTAAATGAAGACATTCCTTCCCTGATTTCTGGGACATACCACTGTTGTTTATTCTGAAGAGTCCATGACTGGAACATCAGGGAAGGCCACAGATTTTTGTATTCTTTCTTTATTCAGGCTCTTTGGTTTTCCTTGGGAGGGATTCTACAACAGACTTACTAAGTGAGACTCTGAAACTCTGCCCCTATTTTGTACCCTTCTCCCCCAGGCATCTTGTTCGCTTAGCTGAGTACACTCTTGGGAAGAAGAGAGAATATGGTGGTAGCTCATGAGGACACATCCAGTTTGCTTCCACAGCCTAAGACTCAACTGAATAAACACCTGAAATCTAAGTCTCCCTAAAGGTGTGCAACAGCTTTGGGGGATCTTTAACCATTTACCTCCTGTTATCTTTGGAATGGAGCAAAAACTAAAAGTGTTACATGGGAAGTTTGTTTCAATTCTACCACCTGGTACTCAGTTTACAAGCATTTCCCAATCCTACTTCTTAATGAGTTATATAAAAGGAGAAGATTTATTGACCATTTGTCATACATTTTGGTCAACATGTCAGTTATTGATATGTATTTTTTACATTATTAACTGAAGAAAAATGGATGCCTTTTACAAACGTTATAAGATTACAAAACACAAATACATCCAAAGGAACCAAATTAGGGTTGTAATGTGGAAGCCTAATGATTTTCCATCAGAACTCTCATATAAATGCCCTGTTTGATAAGAGAAATGAGCAGGAGCAAGGTCGTGGTGAAGGACTCTGCTGAAGCTTTCCCAAGGATTCCTATACTAAAGCTTTGGCTTTCTCAAAATATTCTCAGAATAAGCAGTTATTGTCATTCTCCAGAAAGTCAACCAGCAAAATGACTTGAGCTTTCCAATAAACTCTTGCCATGACCTTTGTGCTCTCCTCATCCACCTTTGTTTTGACTGGACTTTTCCACCTCTTGGTAGCCATTGCTTTGATTGTATTTGTTTTCCAGATTTTACTGGTAAAGTCTTGTGTTGTCTCCTGTTATAAATCATTGAAGGTGTGCTTACGGTCTTCATTGCTTGTATTTAAATTTTTAGGGAAACTTCTGCTCTTGTCTGTACTTGATCTTGGTGACACAGTTTGGGCATCCATTAAGTGAAAAGCTTACTAAACTTTGATCATTCAGTTAGAATCATGTAAACTGAACCAACTGAGAAGTCTGCGGTGTTGGCTATTGTGTGTGGTGCTAATCGTCACACATCTTCTCTTAGGGTATAAAGAAGATGAATGTATACCTTGCAATATGACATGGTTCATCTGTCACTGTAGGCTTTAGGTTCAACATTGCCTCATTCCTTCTTGAAATGAGGAACTCCTCATTGAATTTGTGAACTGCTGACTTCTTCAACCAATGTCAACTTACCATGTGGCAAGTAGGACAACTTTTTGGACACCGTCAGTGACTTCATCTTCTTCCACCCAAGCTTCACAATAAATTTGATGTTTGTAACTCTAACTTTAGAAGAATTCATGTTGCTCTTCTAGGGACTATTTTGAAACTGCTATCTTATTTTTCTTAATTCCTCAAACTAGCTCCTGTTGAGACATCTTATAGCAAGATATTCTAATTTCATTTGGTGCCAAAAAATTTGGAATCCATTCATGGTATTTCTTTTTTTTTTTTTTTTTTTTTTTTTTTTTTTTTTTTGAGACGGAGTCTTGCTCTGTGGCCCAGGCTGCAGAGCAGTGGCGCGGTCTCTGCTCACTGCAAGCTCTGCCTCCTGGGTTCATGCCATTCTCCTGCCTCAGCTTCCCGAGTAGCTGGGACTGCAGGCACCCACCACCACGCCTGGCTAATTTTTTTGTATTTTTAGTAGAGACGGGGTTTCAAGGATGGTCTTGATCTCCTGAACTCATGATCCACCCACTTTGGCCTCCCAAAGTGCTGGGATTACAGGCGTGAGCCACTGCGCCTGGCCCATTCACGGTATTTCTTAATAGAATATACATTCTCCGCCAACATTTTAACAACCCACTCCATATAGGAAGGCATCCTAACACAAGAAGATCTACTGGAGGTAACATAGACTTTTCCAGCTGACTAGGCAGATGAGTTTCTTGTTTTTCTTTTAGCATACATAGGAATGTTTTCTGAAGATGGGATATAATACCAGTCGCCAAATATTCTCCAGCTACATGGAAAGTGTAACATTTGTAACTGAGATTCACATGCTTCAAGAGAGACACAGAGTGCTTGGGCCTAGCGGCTATTCTGATGTTATTGAATGATTTTCTCTGGTTTCACCAAACATTATTTGGAAAGAGAAGCTGGCGATGAACAGTCTGGCTTAGGTAGCTTATGGTGGCTTGTCAGGTAGGGAAGAAATGTAAGAGAGAAGAAGCAGCGGGGAGTGCCTACTTGTGGGAGTCACTGGGGAAGCTGCAGTCTTGGTTAGAGGCAGGCTACTCCTCATCTGCTGAGTACAGGAAGACAAGAGGTGATACTTCCAAATATCACTCAGCTAATGCCCTATTCCTGACCTTCCCCTATGTCAGAAATGCATGAAAGAGACTAGAAAATCAGGAAGGAGTAAATATCAGGTATCAAGCTACCAGAGACAACCAAAACAGAGGTTACCAAAGAACTGAAGGAGACAGTGTCACTCAGGATGAGATCAAAACAAGGAGCAGGACTGCAACAGGAGCTTAGGCACTTGTCCATGAGTCAAGGACCTCAGCAATCAACTTGCCATTTAAAATAAATGTAAACTTACTATGTGCCAAGCAGGACTCTTGATTTCTACCTCCTAAAACCTGCTCTCCCCTGAGTTTCCTCATTATGACTGTCAAAACAAAATATCACAGACTAGGTTTCCTTCAACAACAGAAATTCCTTTCCAACACTTCTGGATGCTCAAGTTCCATGATGAAGCTGTCAGCAGGTTCAGTTCTTCTGGGCCCTGCCTGCTTGCCATCTACATATCTGCCTTCTTGCTGTGTTTCCCGTAGGTCTGCTTCTATACATACATAATTTTTGTGTCTCTCCGTGTGCAAATTTCTAGTTCTTATAAGGAATTTCCACTTCTTATAAGGACAGCAATCTTATTAGATTTAGTTCCACTGAAACTCCCCCATTTTATCTTGATCACCTCTTCTTAGGGCTGTTTTCTAAACACAATGATATTCTAAGGAACAAGAGGTTGGCTGTGGAGTTTTGTATACCTATGCCTATCATATTTCACTAAATATTTGATTATATAGATATCATTTCTTTGGAATTTTGAGCTGGGTGAAGACAACACAAACCTGGCCATTCATGGCTGACAGAAGGTTGGCCCTCAGCCTGGTCAGACCCACACAGATTGTCTAATATTCTCTGGCTCTGGGTCTAGTCAGAAAACTCTTGGTGTAGGATACAGGTGTCTTCATGCATTCTATCATTAATATACATGGGGAGGTTAAAAAAAACGTTGGCCATGAAAACTACCAAGGGGTTCTAGAAATGAACAGAAAGAATACACAGTTCTTGAATGAGACACCCTATTTCATGACTTCAAAATTTTTTCCTTGCTCTACCCCTTTGTTAGAATGTTTGATCAGATTTAGTTGGGCTTTACATCTTCTAGGAATTTTTTTTTATACAGACTCTTGCTCTGTCACCCAGGCTGGAGTGTGGTGTCATGATCCTGGCTTACACCATCCTTGAAATCCTGTGCTCAGGGGATTCCCCCAGCTTCAGCCTCTTAAGTTGTTTGATTACAGGTTCATGACACCCACCATGCCCATTTATTTATTTATTTATTTTTAATTTTTGAAGAGATGGAGCCTCACTTTGTTGCTCAGGCTGGTCTTGAACTCCTGGCCACAAGGGATCCTCCCACCTCACTCTTCCAAAGTCCTGAGATAATGGGCATGAGTACCCACATTCAGTCCTTCTTCTAGGAAAAATTTTTAATCACTCCCACTTATAATGAGTGGCCACAATTATGTATTCCAATAAGATAGTCTGGTACCCACATAAAAGCCTCAAGCATATCGCATTGATCTATTTCTTAGTACCTGTGCTATCTCTCTCCCAGATTGTTCTTCCACAAAGAAATTTTTTTCATTTTTGCAATATTCTGAAACGAATTTCTCCAGACTCTCTTTCTAAAATGTATTTGTTGACATTTTGTGTTCTAAATCAAATTTCCCTGTGTTTATTTTTCATCTTACCTCTGGCTTCTTTTTAAATAAAATTTGATAAAATTTTTTAAATCTAATCTTCTAGATAAGCATCTATAATTCTTCTTACTCCTTTCTTTTCATTTTTGTTTTTAAAATTTAGATCAACATACTGTGTTTCCAAGGTCTTTTTACTGAGTTTGTGTTAGTAGCTCTCTTTTCATCTGCTGACTTTTCTATTATATCAAGTAGTTCCTGCCCATCGTTCCACCCTTTTCATGGAAAGTATAGGTGAGTCAGTATCAACAGCTGCCACTTACCATTTCAGGCCTCGAATAAGTCTTGTACTGTCATTCAGTTTTTTCTCAAGGATAGTGATAACTTCAGATGACCTTGTTAGAGGTATTGTGTGTGGGGATGTGACTGGACATCCTAAAGACAGGCCACTTGATCAGTTGGATGAGAGGATCCTGTGTTGTACACATAAGAATCTGTTCCTACTCTTCCAGAAGGGTCTGAGAATACAAGGGGATTTCAAAAATTTTTTGGAAGAACGTAATCACAATATGAAAGTAGACAATATAAACTTTATTTCTTAACATTATCTCCATCACATTCAAGAAGTTTGGCAAGTAATGATACAAGAAATTTAGCCTATCTACAAAGAATTGGGGACCCTGGGAATTTCACCATATAAATGCAGTCTTTTCACACTATTAACTGAAGAAAACAGAATACACGTTAAAGATATTTTAATATTAGAGAAAAAGAAATTCAAAGATACTGCATCAGTACTGTAAATTGGATGCCTAGTGATTTTCTTTTTTTTCTTTTCTGTTTTATTTTCATAGGTTGGGGAACAGGTGGTGTTTGGTTATGTATATAAGTTCTTGAGTGGTGATTTGTGAGATTTTGTTGCACCCATCACCTGGGCAGTACTCACTGCACCCAATTTATAGTCTTTTATCCCTCACCTCTTTCTGACTCTTTCCCCCTGAGTTCCCAAAGTCCACTGTGTCATTCTTAAGCCTTTGCATCCTCATAGTTTAGCTCCCATTCATGAGTGAGAACATACGATATTTGGTTTTCCAGTCCTAAGTTACTTCACTTAGAATGATGATATCGACTTATGAAAGATTGGAGAAAGTTAGGCAAAACTTTAGCAGATGAATGCCCAGAAAGGCTTTAGCAGAGTCCTTCTCCATCACAACAAAGCTCCTGCTCATTCCCCTCATGAAAGAGGAGCAATTTTCCAGTCGATGTTGTCATTCCTTGACCCTCCCCAAAGTTATCAACCAAAATACCTTGGGCATCCGAACACACTGTTGGCATAATATTTGTTTTTGTCGCATTTACTTAGACTAGACCACTTCCACCTCTTGGTACCCATTGCTTTGATTGTGTTTTTCCCTTTGAGTGGCACTGGTAAAGCCACATTTGATCTCCTGTTACAGCTCTTCAAAGACATGCTTAGGATCTTTTCTTTTCTTCTCCTTCCTACTTCTTTAATTTTTCATTGAATGTTCTGTTCTTGTCTGTAGCTGACTTGGGTACAGCAGTTTTGGCCCTCATCAAGTGGATAGTTTGCTCAAGTTTAAGCTCTTGTTTCTGTTGTTAATTGTCAGACCTCTTCAATTAGGCCAAAAGAAGATAAAGTTTTTGCCCATAAGTTGATGTGTATGGTCTGCTGCTGCAATGTTTACTTTCACCATTATCTCATCGATTCTTAAAGTGAGTTATCCATTCTGTGAAGGGCTGATTTACATGCGCACAAATATGTCCTAATGCATCAGTGATGTCACCATCCCTCCACCCAAGCTTCAACATAAACTCGAATTTGTTTTTCCTACAATTTTAGTAGAATTTTTGCTGCTCTGATAGAGGCTGTTTTCAAACCGGTTTCTCAACCATGTTAGTGACTGAACGAGATCCTGTTCAGACATGTTGTAACAAGTTAGTACAAATGTATTTTGATACAAAAAATGTTTATATCCATGCATAATTTTTAAACATCATATGTATTTTCTACAAACAGTTTGAAGATGCCTTATATTATTGGAAGCCTTCCTCATAAAACGAGGGTTGTTGCAGATTACTCTGCCATTGGCTGGTGATCAGATAGATTGTTGTTTTCCTCCCTTACCCCTTCTGGAATATTAGGGATGTTTGCTAAAGAGGAAATATATTACCAGCTAGCAATTCTTCTTTGGCTACGCAGTAAGAAAACCGTTGTAGTTTGGCTTTATGTGCTTGGGGGGGTGGGGCATAAAGCAGTTGCTTGTCCTAGCACGTGCCCTAATGATACCAGGGTGACTGTGATTGGTTTCTACACACACTAATTGGACAGGGAAACTGGAGAAGAATGGTCCTGCCTAATGACTTACGGTAGACCTTTTAGTGGGAAAGGAAGATCAGAGTGAAGGAGCAGAGGGGAGTGCTTCGCAGACTTGCCTCATTGCATAGGTTGCTGTAGAAGTGGTAGTCCTGGTGTAAAAAGACTCCCCCTTGGCTTGATGAGTACAGGAAGACAGTAGGCATTGCCTTCAAATATCACTCAGCTCAGGCCCTTTCTCTGACATTGTCCAATGTCAGCAATGAGTGAAAGAGATTAGTTTATTAGGGAAGAATAAATATTAACTACAAAATCTCCACACACAAATAAAACAGAGATGACAGAAGAGCTGAATGAGGACCTGTCAGTGAGTAAGGATGGGGTCAAAGCAAGGAGCAGGTCTGCAGCAGGAGCCCTGGCACCTTTTGGTCAGTTGAAGCTCTCAGCAATCCACTTGCCTTCTAATATGGATGCAAACATAATATGTCCCAAAAAAGATCCTTGATTTCTGCATCTTAAACGGCTCTCCCTTGACGTAGTTTGTTATGTCTGCCCTAAAAAAAACCAAAACACACTGTGTAATTTGAACAACAGAAATTGATTTTCTGAGGCTCACATTCCATGATCAAGGTGTTAACAGGTTCATTTCTTCTAAGATGTCTCTTCTTGGATTTGACTTGGCTAATTTAGTTTTTTTGTCCTCAAACACCTCGATCATTTACTTTCTGAAAAACTTTCACAGTCTACAAGGTCTTTTTTCAAATTTTAGACTTATATATGTCAGTTCTGAAATTTCTATTTTATTATTTTCTATAGTTCCTTTTTCTGCTGAGAAGCTTTTTCCCATTTACTTTGAGAGTGTTCACATTTACCTCAGAAAAGTTGACTATAAGAGCTGCTTTAAAGTCTGATCATTTCCATATCGAAGTGGTTTCAAGGCTGTTATATCTTGATTATATCCTTCATTAAGAATTGGTCAATTGTTTACGGTTTGTAAAAGTATATTGAGTAATTTTCTATTTTATGCCTCACATGGGCATTTTTCTGTGTTTACAATACACAAAAAATTCAACAAGGCAAGCTTTGGACATTGAAGGGTGGAGGCACTCAGGCTACATCGTGATCCACCCACTGGCTCCACTGGCAGAAGGGTTAATCCCACTGACATTATTCTACTTGGAACTTCTATGTGGATGATTCTCCTTGGCTCTTATGAGATAAGAGTATAAGCATTTCATATAGTACACACTTATAAAATTAAAAACAACAGAAAAGTGCGCTGAATGGGTCCCAAAGGCCTTATCCACTATGTCTTCCTAACTTTTCATGTTTTGTACCCCATTTTCTCAAAGCTCAAATGAACACAAGCACTTCTTTTCTCTTTTCCTCTACAAGAACCACAGAGTTTAACATTTGCTTCTTAGAGGCTATCCCAGTAGCCAGGCAGCCCTGCTCTCTTCTGACTGGGGATTTACAGAATGCAGGAAAATGAGGCTGAGGTAGAAAGAGTGACTATACACCCAGCATAATGGCTCATGACTGTAATCCCACTACTTTTGGAGGCTGAGATTGGAGGATTGTTGATGTCAGGAATTCAAGATCAGCCTAACAATATAGCAAGATCTCCCCATGTATACAACAAAATTTACAAAATCAACCTTGCATGGTGATGGGCACCTGTAGTCCCATCTAATTCAGAGGGTGATCTGGAAGAATTGCTTGATCCCAGGAGTTCAAGACTGCAGTGAGCCATGATTGCACCACTGTACTCCAGCTTAAGTGAGAGAACAAGTCCCTGTCTCTAAAAAGAAATAATAATACTAATAATAACAATAATAACAATAAATGACTACTGCAACTGAAAAGCTTTTTTTCCCCCACCCTGGCTTCTAGCCCCAGGGTCTACCTCCTTTAAATGCATCTCCAGTGTCTATGGATTCAACAGACTTCCAGTCTCTTCCTTTCTTTCCCCTTATATGCCACTGTAGCTCTATCCTGTATCCTCAGCATGCCTTCCCCCACTCCGACAGAATCAAGTACAACGGTGAATTGAGCAAGTATAGGCAATAGAGCTATAAATATCTATGTTTCTACCCTCTTTGATATTTTTTCAATATTTGGAGATGGGTATGTAGGGCCCTTAGTCCTTCTTGTGTCAGGGTCTTCTCAGGCCCAACCCAAATCCTGAAAGGAACTGAGATCAGAGTAGAGGAAAAGAAGTGATGAGAGATGTGAACAAAGTGTCTTCATGCAAGTAAGACACATTTACTGTCTAATTCAAGCATTGTAGCCACAGCCTAAGACTCAACTGAATAAACACGTGAATTTTAAGTCTCCCCAAATGTTTGCAACAGCTTTGGGGCATCTTTAACCCTTTACCTCCTGTTATCTTTGGAATGGAGCAAAAACTGAAAGTTTTACATGGGAAGTTTCCTTCAATTCTACCACCTGGTACTCAGTTTACAACCATTTCCCAATCCTTCTTGTTAATGAGCTATATAAAAGGAGACAAATTATTGACCACTTGTCATACATTTTGGTCAACATGCCAGCTATTGATATGTATTTTTTACATTATCAACTGAAGAAAAATGGATGCCTTTTACAAACGTTATAAGAACACAAAACAAAAAGAAAACAAAAGAAACCAAATTAGGGTTGTAATGTGTCCAGAATTGGTTTCTTCCAGTTGGTTCTTGGTCTCGCTGACTTCAAGAATGAAGCTGCGGATGCTTGCAGTGAGTGTTACAGTTCTTAAAGATGGTGTGTCCATAGTTTGTTCCTTCAGATGTTCAGATGTGTCTGGAGTTTCTTCCTTCCGGTGGGTTCTTGTTCTCACTGACTTCAGGAGTGAGGCCACAGACTTTCGCAGTGATTGTTACAGCTCTTAAGGCCGTGTCCAAAGTTGTTTTTTCTTCCTGGTGGGTTGGTGGTCTCAGTGACTTCAGGAATGAAGCCGCAGACCCTCTCGTGTGTGTTACAGCTCATAAAGGTAGTGCAGACCCAAAGAGTGAGCAGCAGCAAGATTTGTTGTGAAGGGCAAAAGAACAAAGCTTCCACAGCATGGAAGGGGACCCAAACAAGTTACCACTGCTGGCTCAGTTGGCCAGCTTTTATTCCCATATTTGGCCCTGCCCACATCCCGCTGATTGGTACATTTTACAGAGCACTGATTGGTCCATTTTACAGAGTGCTGATTTGTCCATTTTACAGGGTGCTGATTGGTGCATTTGTAATCCTTTAGCTAGACACAGAGTCCTGATTGGTGCATTTTTACAGAGTGCTGATTTGTGCATTCACAATCCTTTAGCTAGACAGAGAGCACTGATTGGTGCATTTTTATAGAGTGCTGATTGGTGCATGTACAATCCTTTTGCTAGACACAGAGTGCTGATTGGAGCATTTTTATAGAGTGCTGAATGGTACATTTACAATCCTTTTGCTAGACACAGAGCAATGATTGGTGCATTTTTACAGTGTGTGGATTGATGCACTTACAATCCATTACCTAGACCCAGAGCACTGATTGGTGCATTTACAATCATCTAGCTAGACAGAAAAGTTTTCCAACTCCCCACTCGACCCGGGAAGTCCACTTGGCTTCACTTCTCACCAATGTGAAAGCCTAATGATTTTCCATCAGAACTGTCTTATAATTACCCTGTTTGATAAGAGAAATGAGCAGAAGCAAGGTTGTGAAGGTTGTGTTGAAGGACTCTGCTGAAGCTTTCCCAAGGATTCCTATACTAAAGCTTTGGCTTTCTCAAAATATTCTCAGAATAAGCAGTTATTGTCATTCTCCAGAAAGTCAACCAGCAAAATGACTTGAGCTTTCCAATAAACTCTTGCCATGACCTTTGTGCTCTCCTCATCCACTTTTGTTTTGACTGGACTTTTCCACCTCTTGATAGCCATTGCTTTGATTGTATTTGTTTTCCAGATTTTACTGGTAAAGTCACTTGTTATCTCCTCTTATAATTCACTGAAGAAATGCTTATGGTCTTCATTGTTCCTATTTAAATTTTTAGGGAAACTTCTGCTCTTGTCTGTACTTGATCTTGGTGACACAGTTTGGGCATCCATTAAGTGAAAAGCTTACTAAACTTTAATCATTCAGTTAGATTCATGTAAATTGAACCAACTGAGAAGTCTGCAGTGTTGGTTATTGTGTGTGCTACTAATCATCACACCTCTTCTCCTGGGTTTAAAGAAGATGAATTTATTCCTTGCAATGTGATGTGAATCATCTGTCACTGTAAGCTTTAGGTTCAACATTGCCTCATTCCTTCTTGAAATGAGGAACTTCTCATTGAATTTGTGAACTGCTGACTTCTTCTACCAATGTCAACTTACCATGTGTCAAGTAGGACAACTCTTTGGACACCATCAATGATTTTACCTTCTTCCACCCAAGCTTCACAGTACATTTGATGCTCCTACTCACTTTAATTTTAGAAGAATTCATGTTGCTCTTTTAGGGGTCTTTTGAAACTGCTTTCTTATTTTCCTTCATGCCTCAAACTAGCTCCTGTTCAGACATGTTATAGCAAAAGATTATGATTTTATTTTGGTGCCAAAACATTGGAATCCATTCATGGTGTTTCTTAATAGGATATACATTTTCCTTCAACATTATAACAACCCACTGCATATAGGAAGGTGTCCTGATACAATAAGCTCTACTAGAGGTAACTCAGAATTTTCCAGCTGACTAGGCAGATTGGTTTCTTGTTTATCTCCTAGGATAAATAGGGATGTTTTCTGAAGATGGAATATAATACCAGTGGCCAAATATTCTCCAGTTACACAGAAAGTTTAACATTTGTAACTGAGATTCACATTCTTTAAGAGAGAGACAGAGTACTTGGGCCAGTCTGGTGTCCTGATGTTATTGAATGATTTTCTCTGGTTTCACCAAACATTGTTTGAAAAGGAAGCTGTTGATGGGCAGTCTGGCCTAGGTAGCTTATGGTGGCCCATCAGGAAGGAAAGAAACGCAAGAGAGAAGAAGCAGAGGGGAGAGCCAGGCAGATGTGACTCCTTGTGGGAGTCAGTGGGGAAGTTGCAGTCCTGGTTGGAGACAGACTTCTCCTTGTCTGCTGAGTACAGCAAGACAAGAGGTGATGCTTCCAAATATCACTCAGCTCACAACCTGTCCTTCTCCTATGTCAGAAATGAGTGAAAGAGATTAGCATATCAGGAAGGAGTAAATACCAGATATCAAGCTACCAGAGACAAGCAAAATAGAGGTTACCAAAGAACTGATGGAGACAGTGTCACTGATTTAGGATGGGGTAAAAGCAAGGAGCAAGGCTGCAACAAAAGCTTAGGCACTTGTCCATGAGTCAAGGACCTCAGCAATCAACTTGCCATTTAAAATAATGTAAACTTACCATGTGCCAAGCAGGACTCTTGATTTGTACCTCCTAAAACCTGCTCTCCCCTGAATTTCTTTATAATAGCCATCAAAACAAAATATCACAGACTAACATTCTTAAGCAACAGAAATTACTTTTCAACCCTTCTGGATGCTCAAGTTCCATGATGAAGGTGTCAGCAGGTTCAGTTCTTCTGGGCCCTGTCTACTTGGCATCTAGATATCACCTTCTTGCTGTGTCCTCCCATGGGGCTGCGTCTGTGCCTATGTACTTATTGTGTCTCTCTGTGTGCAAATTTCCAGTTCTTATAAGGAATTTCCACTTCTTCTAAGGACACTCATCTTATTGGATTTAGTTCCACTGAAACTCCCTCATTTTAGCTTGATCACCTCTTCTTAGGGCTGTTTTCTAAACACAATCATATTCTAAGGAACAAGATGTTGGCTGTGGAGTTTTCTATACCTATGCCTATCATATTTCCCTAAACATTTGATTATGTAGAGATTATTTCTTTGGAACTTTGAGCTGTGTGCAGACAACACAAACCTGGCCATTCATGGCTGACAGAAGGTTGGCTCTCAGCCTGGTTGGACCCACACAGATTGTCCAATATTCCTTGGATCTGGCTCCAATCAGAAAAGTCTTGGTGTTGTAGGATACAGGAGTCTTAACGTATTCTATTATTAATATTCATGGAGAGGTTAAAACAAAGTTGGACACAAAAACTACCAGAGGTTTCTAGAAATGAACAAAATGAATACACGTCCTTGAATGAGCCATCCTACTTCATGTCTTTAAGAATTTTTTCTTGCTCTTCCCCTTTATTAGAATGTTTGATCAGATGCAGTTTGGGCTTTATGTCTTACAGGATTATATATATGTAAATATAGGCTCTTGCTCTGTCAGCCAGGCTGGAGTGTGGTGTCCTGATCATGGCTTCCAGCATCCTTGAACTCCTATGCTCTGAGGATTCCCCCCACTTCAACCACTTGAGTTGCTTGAATTACAGGTTCATGACACCCACCATGCCCGTTTATTATTTTTTAATTTATTTAAAAATTTTTTGAAGAGATGGATCCACAATTTGTTGCTCAGGCTGGTCTTAAACTCCTGGCCTCAAGGGATCCATCCAACTCACCCTCCCAAAGTCCTGGGATAACAGGCATGAGTCGCCACATTCAGTTGTTCTTCTAGGAAAAATTTTTAATCACTCCCACTTATAATGAGTGGCCACAGTTATATATTCCAATGAGATAGTCAGGAACCCACATAAAAGCCTCAAGGGTATTGCACTGATCTATTTCTTAGTACATGTGCTGTCTCCCAGATTGTTCTTCCACACAGAAATTTTTTTTATTTTTGCATTATTCTGAAAGTATTTTCTCCCCACTCTCTTTCTAAAATGTATTTCTTGACATTTCCTGTTCTAAATAATCTTCCCTGTGTTTATTTTTCATCTTATATCTGGCTTCTTCTTAAATAAATTTTTGGAATTTTTTTAAATCAAATGTACTAAGTAAGAATCTATAATTCTTCTTACTCCTTTCATTTTATGTTTGTTTTTAAAATTTGGATCAATATACTGTATTTCCAAAGTATTTTTACTGAGTTTGTGTTGGTAGCTCTCTTTTCATCCACTGACTTCTCTGTTATATCAAGTAGTTTCTGCCCATCATTTCATCTTTTTATGGAAAATGCAGGTTAGTCAGTATTAACAGCTGCCACTTATCATTTCAGGCCTCGAATAACTTTTGTGACATCATTCAGTTTTGGCTCAGGGATAGTGATAACTTCAGGATACCTCGTTAAAGGCATTGTGTGTGGGTCTGCCACTGGAAATCCTAAACACAGGCCACTTGATCATTTTGATGAGAGGATCCTGTGTTGTACACATTAGAATCTGATCCTGCTCTTCCAGATGGGTTTGAAATACAAGGGATTTCAAAAACTTTGTGGAAGAATGCAATTACAATATGAAATTAGACATTATATAAACTTTATTTCTTAACATAACCTCCACCACATTCAAGAAGGTTTGCAAGTAATGATACAAATAATTTAGCCTATCTATAAAGAATTGAGGGTCCTGAGAATTTCACCATATAAATGCAGTCTTTTCAAATTATTAACTGAAGAAAACAGCATACACATTAAAGTATTTTTATCTTAGAAAAAAAACAAGTCTGAGGAACAGCTCCAGTCTACAGCTCCCAGCGTGAGCGATGCAGAAGACAAATGATTTCTGCATTTCCAACTGAGGTAACAGGTTAGTCTCACTGGGGATTGTCAGACAGTGGGGGCAGGACAGTGGGTGCAGCCCACCAAGCATGAGCTGAAGCAGGGCAAGGCATTGCCTCACCCGGGAAGTGCAAGGGGTCAG
>NT_187582.1:0-67707 GCF_000001405.40 Homo sapiens | reverse complement strand
ATGTGGAGCAGCAGAACTCTCATTCACTGCTGGTGAGAAAAATGGCGCAGCCCCAATAGGGAACCCTAATGCAGACTCTGGACTTCACTGGAAATGACGTGTCAGTGTAGCTGCGTCAGTTGTAACAAATGCACCAGTCTGGTGGGCGTGTTGATAACCGGGGCTGCGCACGTGGGGAGAGAGGACCTGTGGGAATGCTCTACTTTCCACTCATTTTTGCTGTGAACTTAAAACTGCTCTTACAAAATAACATTGTTTGTTGTTGTTGTTGTTGTTGTTGTTGTTGTTGTTTTTAAGTATCTAGTCAGCTCCACACATGACCCGGGCAGAGTGGGAAGTTGTAGAGTGCCCCAAGGAGAGAAATGGAACCAGGTCTCATGTGGGGCCAAGTGTGGGCTCCCTGTCCTCTCAGCTGGTCCCAGGAACTGAAGGGAAATTTAGACAACTTGGAGAAAGACACTCTAGGGCTCGGGGCAAAGGGTGGTGTTGATGAGAACCATATTTTTTTATTGCTGGTGTAAGCACTTGTATTTTTCTGATTTTCCACTGGTTCGATAATAAGGGTAAAAGACAATAAAGCATACTTTTTAAGCTTTTGTTTAGAAGTTTTTTTTCCAATAAAACTTCCCCAAAAACCGATAGAAAAAACTGACAAAAGAATTCCTGTTTTGGTTCAAGTTCATGATGGGTGGGAGGCACCATGACCACCACACCTATGTTCATGCCTTCCATCCACAAATCAGAAGCTCCATGAGGGCAGGCAAGGAAATGACTGTCCTTTCCATCCTAAATCCCTGGTGCCTAGCAGAGTGTCAAACACATGCAGGAGTTTAATAAATATTGAACAGAAATATACTCTATCAGTGTATGGGTTCTGGAGCCAGACTTTCTAGGTCTGAATCCCAGCTCTGCCACTCAAAAACCAAGTTCCCCAGCAAGTTACTGGCTCTCTCTGGGCCATGGTTTCCTCATCTGTAAAGTGGGGCTAAGAGTGATATCTGCCTTATAAGGTTGTTGAAGGAATTCATAGTTTAATACACATAAAGTGCCTGAACCAGACATGTTGTGTAGTGATCATACAATAATATCATTACTGTCTCCATCCTCATCATCATTATTCCATGTTGAAGAGGATAATCCCCATCATGGTTCCCTTCCCCTCTGAACCCATTCAGAACCCAGAGTCTCTGCACGGTTATCTCAGCCAAAATCCCTGCCCTCAGAGAGCTGACGTCCCATCTGGGAGGAGACACAGAACAAATAAATAAATATGGAATATGTCAATGCTGAGAAGAACAGAGTCTGTGGTCCCTAGTGCACCCTGCTGCCTCTGACAGGGATGGGAAAGAGTGGACTCATAATAATTAATTTTATTTGTCAACTTAACTGGGCCACAGGGTGCCCAGATATTTGGTCATACATTCTGGGTATGTCTGTGAGGGTGTTGCTGGATGAGATGAACATTAAAATCCATAGACTGAGTAAAGCAGATTGCCCTCCCTAATGTAGGTCAGCCTCATCTAGTATACTATACACACACACACACACACACACACACACACACACACATACATATATATATATTTCTGTATATGTACACATCTTATTGGTTCTGTTTCTCTGGAGAGCCCTAATACAGATCTGCCCATTGATGGTGCTGCTATTCTCCCAGGGGGTTAGAGAACTTTCCTCACTTTGCCCCTGACCCCCATGGTCATCCTCTGTCTCTGTGTGTTGAGAGGACTGCAGTGAGATGATCTGGTGTCTACTCCAGCTCTGCAACCAGGATGACCATAGGAACCACATTAAAGTCCAATCATACCACAAGTGAAAACAGGTGCCATCATGGCCCCATTTTCCCAGCCCCATGCCACAGTCATGACTGGTCCCTAAACAACCCCTGCGGATCACTGCTACATTCCCCTGATGAGTCTTTCAGCCTCTGCCCTGGCCTTTTCAATGAACCCACACCACTTCTCCCAAGGATTCCATGGCCATGTTCTTCCTCTACTGTCAGCCCTGGTGGCCTCCTGTCACCCACAAGGTGAAGTCCAAGCTATGTGACAGGGTCAACTACATGATGTGGTCCAAGGATCCATCCCTGCCAAGGTTCAGCCTCATCTCTTGACATTCCCCTTCTTAAATTTTCAGCTCCTGTAAAGTTAAACTGCTAATAGTACCCCATGGGTGCCAGAATATTTCTTGACTCCTCATCTTTCAGCTATGGTTTGTTCCCTGTGGCCCAGGGTGCCCTTCTATTGCCACACTCTTCTCTTAGACAACTCCTGCCCATCCTTCCACATTCTGCTTATCAACTTCAGGGCAACTTCCCTGATCCTGTACACCACTCCAGATTAGTTTGGGGGCCCCTTCTGTCTCTGTAATGCAATGATGAGTCTCCATTGCACTTACTTCATTTTCAATATTATCTTAATAGGCATTAATCCAAAGAGGTTCTTGGTTCCAAGCCCTGGATCCTGGCCCATAGTTGACACTAGCAATGAAGCAATGAGTCTAGAGCTGACCCTCACCTACACAGTCTTCTGATTTAAGACATAAGGACAACTGTAATCAAGGGAAAGGAAGGGTGATCTTTTCAGTAAATAATGCTGGGGAGACCAGAGAGCCAATGGGGGAAAATGAACTCCTACCTCTAATTTATACCATGCACCAAAATTAATTTTACCTCCACCTATCAATAATGAGGCAGCAGACCCCCTTCTCTTGCCAAAGCAATGTCAAAAGAAAAACAATCCAGATGAACCACAGGATCTAAATAATACAGAAACATCCCAGTTTCAACTGGAAATCACACATCATACCAAGAATCATGAAGATCTCAAGCTGCATGAAAAACAACAATCAATAGGTGCCAACACCAAGATGACAGAGATGTTAGAGTTACCTGAAAATAATTAAAGTAGCCATGACAGAATGCTTCCAGGATCAATTATGAATACACTTGAAGCAAATAAAAAATAGAAAGCCTTTGCAATGAAATAGAAGATAAGAAGAACCAAATGGAAAATTTTAGAACTGAAAAATACAGTATGAGAAATGAAAAATTCACTGACACCTTGAACAGAAGAATGGAAAGGACAGAGGAAAGAGTGAAGTGGGAGACAGAATAACAGAAATTACTGAATCTGAACAACACAGAGAAAAGAGACTGAAATAAAAAATAACAGAGCCTCAGGGACACAACAAAAGGAACCAAGAGTCAAGAAACACAACAAAAAATCTAATATTTAAGTTTCTGGAGTTCCAGAAGGAAAGGAGAAAGAGCATGATAGTGAAAAAATGCTTACAGAAATAATGGCTGGAAACTTCCTAAATTTGTGAAGAGACACAAACTTACAGATTCAAGAAGCTGAACAAACCGTAAATAGGATAAACCAAAGAAATCCACACCAAGACACATACTAATTAAACTTCTGAAAACTAAAGACAGAAAAAAGTCTTCAAAGCACCAAAGAAAAACTGAGAAAACTGAAAGGAAAAATAGACAAGTACAGAATTAGAGTTAGAAATTTCAACACTTTTCTCTCTACAATTGATAGAACTAGACAGAAAATCAACAAGAATACTAAAACACTCAACACTGTCAACTCCCAGGATCTAATCAATATTTACAACACATTCCCCTCAATAACAGAAAAATATGCATTCTTTTCAAGTGCTCATGTAAAATAGATAGACCATATCCTGGGCCATAAAGCAATCTAAAAAACTTTAAAAAATATAAATCATACAGGGTATGTTCTCCAAACACAATGAAATCAAACTAGAAATCAGTAACAGAAAGATAACAGGAAAATCTCTGAACACTTGGAAACTAAACAACACACTTCTAAATTATCTTTGGATCAAAGAGGAAGTTTCAAGGAAGACAGAAAAATACATTGAACTTAATGAAAATGAAAATACAACACACTAGTGTTTGTGTGACACAGCTAAAACAATGCTGAGAGGAAAAATTATACTACAAAATACCTATGATCAAAAAGAAGGAAAAGCCTCAAAACCATAGTCTAAGTTCCCACCTCAAGAAACTAGAGAAAGAAGAGAAAAATCAACCCAAAGAAAGCAGAAGAAAGAAATAATAGAGAACAGCAGACATGAATAAAATTGAAAAAAAATAAAATCAATGAAAAAAGAGCTGTCTCTTTGAAGAGAACAATAAAATGGACACACTTCTAGCAAGACTGATAACGAAAAAAAGGAGGAGAAGATGCAAATTGCCAACATGAAGAATGAAACCGGGAATATCATTACAGACCCTGCAGACATCAAAAAGATAAAATAGAATACTATGAGCCACTCTACACACATAAATTTGACAACTTAGATAAATCAACTTCTTAACCACAACTCACCCAATATGAAATAGATAATTTGCATAGCCTTATAACTATTAAGGAAATTAAAGACATCATTTCAGAAATCTCCAAGCCTGGATGATTTTACTGGACAATTGTACCAATTCTTTGCAGAATAATTAACATGAATTCAAAAGCCATACATATGAGAAAGGAGAAATAAAATAGATAACATGATTATCGCTGTGGAAAATCCCAATGAATCTACATAAACAATACCTCCCAGAAACTAATAAGTTAGTTCAGCAAGGTGACAGACAAGATAAATATACAAAACTGATTGTATTTCTATGTATTAGTAGTAAACATGTGAACATAAAAATTAAAAATACAATGCTATTGAAATCACTCAAAAATTAAATAACTAGATGTAAATTTTTTTGATATACAGAACTTGCATGCTGAAAACTACACAACCACTATGAAAGACATCAAAGAAAATCTAAATAAATGAAGAGACATACCATGTTCATAGATTAGAAGACCCAACATAGTAAAGATGACAATCCTCCCTAAATCAGTGTTTAGGTATGGTTGATATACAGCAATTCCTGTCAAAGTTTCAGTAAGATTTTTTTGTAGATATACACAAGATTATTCTAAAATGTATATAGAAAAGAAAAGGTTTTAGAATAGCTAAAACAATTTTGAAAAATAAGAATAAAGTGAGAGCATTTAGTCTACTTGATTTTAAGCTTAATATATAGGCTTATATAATCAAATAATAATACAATAATCAAAAGTTCATGGTATTGGCAGACAAATAAACATACAGAACAATGGAACAGTACAGAGAACCCAGAAATAGATTCACAAGAATACACCCCACTAATTTTTAACAAAGGTATAAAATCAATTCGATGGAGAAAAATAGCATTTATAGAAAATGGTGCTGAAGCAACTGGATATCCATTTGCAATAAAATGAACTCCAACCTAAATTTCACACCTTTTACAAAAAGTAACTCATAATGAATTATGTACATGTGAAACTATAATACTTTTAGAAAAAAACAGAGGAAAAAATCTTCAGCATCTAGAAGTAGACAAAGAGTCCTTAGACTTGACTCTCAGAGCCGATCCATAAAAGGAAAACTTGATAAACTGGACTTAATCCAAATAAAAATTCTGCTCTGCCAAAGACCCTGCTAAGAGGATGGAAAGACAAGGTATAGACTGGGAGAAAATATTTGCAATCCACAAATCCTACAAAAGAGAAGTATCCAGGCTATAGAAAGAACCCTTAAAACTCAACAGTGAAAGAGCAAACAACCCAATTAGAACATGAGCAGAAGATATAAAGAGACATTTCCCTGAAGAAGATACCTAGATGCAAATATGTACATAAAAAGATGTTCGACATCATTAACCATTAGGCAACTACACATTCAAACTACAATGAGGTATCACTAGACACCTATCAGAATGGCTAAAATAAAAAATAATGGTATCAAGTGCTGGTGAGGATGTGAAGAAACTGGGTCACTCCTACATTGCTGGTGAGACTGTAAAATGGTACAGCCACTCTGAAAAAGTTTGGCAGTTTCATATAGCAAGAACCATGTGACCCAACAATTGAATTCCTGGGCAGTTACTCCTAAATAAATGAAGACTTATGTTCACACAAAAACTTGGACATAAATGTTTATAGCTGCCTTATTGTAATAGCAAGAAACTGGAGAGCAATCCAAATGTTCTTAACAAGTGAGTTATTAAACAAACTAAGATTACTTGGCAATAAAAGGAAGAACCTATTGACAGACACAACAACCTGGATGAATCTCCAAAGAATTATGCTGAGGGAAAAAACAAATTTATTAATCCACTTATATAACATTGTTGGAATGACAAATTTATGGAGATGGAGAACAGATTAGTGGTTGCCAAAGGTTAAGGAGGGTGGGGGACACGAGGAGAGTAGGTGTGTGTATAAAAATGCAACATGAGGAATCCTCGAGGTGATGGAAACGTTCAGTTAGTTCACTGGATCAATGTCAGTAGCCTGGTTGCGAGGTTGTACTATAGTTTTGAAAGACGTTACCATTGGGGGGAGACTGATGAAAGAGTACACGGGATATCTTTGTATTATTTCTCACAACTGCATGTGAATTGACAATTATCTCAAAATAAAAAGCTTAATTTTTTTAAAAAGCCAAAAAGTTTAAGAAATCAAAAAGAGAAAAGCTGTCAAAAGACACTCCGTCTAAAGACAGAGTGAAAAAGCAAGTCACAGAGTGAAAGAAGATATTCATGATACATAGATCCAACCAAAGACTTGTCATCAGAGTATACAAACAGTTGCTAAAGATGAGTTAGAAAAAGACAGACAAAACCGAATGTGTTGTTGCTGTTTTGTTGTTGTTGTTGTTGTTGTTTGAGATGGAGTTTCACTCTTGTCGTCCAGGCTGGAGTGCAATGGCGCCATCTCGGCTCACTGCAACCTCCGCCTCCCTGGTTCAAGTGGTTCTTCTGCCTCAGCCTCCCAAGTAGCTGGGATTACAGGCATGTGCCACTACGCCTGGCTAATTTTTGTATTTTTAGTAGAAACGGGTTTTCTCCATGTTGGTCAGGCTGGTCTCAAACTCCCGACCTCAGGTGATCCACCTGCCTTGGCCTCCCAAAGTGCTGGGATTACAGGCATGAGCCACCGCACCCAGCCCCAAATGTTTTTAAAGTGAGGGAAAGGCTTGAACAGGCAGTTCACAAAAGATGTTTAGATAGCCACTGGGAATATGAGAAGGTGCTCAATATCGTTAGTCATCAGGGAAATGCAGTTAAAACCATAATTATAGCACACCCAACAGAATGGCTAAAATTAAAAAAAAAAAACGACCATACCAAATGTAGGCGAGGATGTGGAACAACCAGAACCTTCCTGCCTTGTCATTGGAAGCAGGAAAGGAAATAGGCCATTTTGGCAAACTGAGTGGTGGGATCTACTAAAGTTAAACAACTACAGTGCTCAGGCCAGCATTTTCAGTCCTAGAGAACAGTGCATGTATGTGTCCACCCAGGATGCGTACTGGAATGCTATACACGTTTTAGTAATGACAGCCCAAGGGCCAGGCACGTTGTGGCTCACACTTGTAATCCCAGCACTTTGGGAGACTGAGGCGGGCAGATGGCTTGAGCCCAGGAGTTCAAGGCCAGCCTGGGCAATATGGCAAAACCCCATCTCTACAAAAAATACAAAAATTAGCTGGGTGTGGTGGCGCGTGCCTGTGGTCCCAGCTACCTGGGAAGCTGAGGTGGGAGGATCGTTTGAGCCCTTGGAGGTCCAGGCTGCAGTGAGCCAAGATCACGTCACTGCCCTCCAGCCTGGGTGACAGAGCAAGATCCTGTCTAAAAACAAAAACAAAACAAAACAAAATGAAAACAGCCCAATGCCAAAAACAATGAACAAACCCATGGTAAATTCCTACAAAGAGAGACTACTCAGGAATTTTTAAAAATAAAATAAAAAATCATGGATACACACAACAAAATGAATGAATCTCAAAAAGTTCATGTTGCTCAAAAGAAACAAATAGAAAAGACCACATACTGGAGGATTCCACTGTTATGAAGTTCAAGGGCAGGCAGAACTCATCTACAGAGACAAAACTCAGATGAGTGGTGACCTGCAGTGGGGGCTATTGGCTGGGAATGGGCACAGGGCAACCTTGCTGGGCTGGAAATCCTTACTACCTTGAGCCAGGCGGTAGTTGCATGGGTGTAAACGTAAGTTAATATCCCCTGGCTGTCCACCTAAAATGTGTGCATGCTACTTATATACGTTAAAACTCAACTGTAGAAAATAGTGTTCAATGGCTTTTAGGTGGATAAATGAGACACAGGGGAAGAGAAGGAGGGAGGGGCTGAGCTCCGTGGGTCAGGAGAATCAAACCCAGACCAGAAACTGACTCGGCTATTAAAACCAGCACCTGTTTCCAGGGACCCAGGAGGCCCCAGAGACAAGGGAGCACCCTGCAGATTCCTGGGCAAAAATCCTGCCCGGCCACAGGGCGGGCTGGGCCACAAGACTGTCCGTGGATGTGGGCCCAGCTTTCCCCCACTTGCAGGAATGCCCAGGCTGGCGCAGGTCTCGGCCTGAACATGTGAGCTCTCGGGCGAGGCTGAGGCAGGGTGGAGGCCAGGGTGGGGGAGCCCAGCCCACGAGGGCTCTGGGTGGACACCCAGCAAGCAGGAGGGGCTCCGTGGGAAGGCCGGGAAAAAACAGTCCCTGGCAGAAAAACTCAGGTCTGCCCCAGGCTCCCCTATAGCTGGCAAGGAGCAAGCATCTAATAAATGTCTGCTGAGCTGCGGTGAATTCCCAGGGCATGGCGACACTCAATGGCTCCATTCCCAGGGAGCTACTCTATGAGTTGCCTCGCTGATTGATTAATGATCAGGCTTTGTGAAACAGTTTACAAAGCACTTCTGACAAATCAAACTCGGGGTTCAGATCTCGGCCCTACCTCTCAATAGCTGTGTAGCTGTGGGCAAATCACTTAACCTCTCTGTGCCCTCATGTCTTCAACTTAAAAAAAAGGAGGGATGATAACAGCACCCTACTTCCTAAGACTGGGTGAATTCATATGTGTAAAGCTCTTAGAATAGTACTTGGCACCCGTAAGTCACACAGGCAGTTAGTGGCACACGCAGGTCTCAAACCCATCTCTATCTGACTCTAGAATCACTACATAGCAGTTCACCATGACAGCCACTGCCCCGTCACAGCCTCCAGGCACTTCACATGTGGCTGGTCCAAATAGAGAGGTGTCGAATTCTGAAGGCTTTTTCCAAAAAAAAAAAAAAAAAAAAAAAAAGGTGTAAAATATCTCATTAATAATGCTTTATGTTAACTAGAAGAGAAAACGTGTAATGTTCCCACACAAAGAAAAGATAAATGTCGGGAGGCCGTGGCAGGAGAATGGTATAAACCCGGGAGGCGGAGCTTGCAGTGAGCTGAAATCGCGCCACTGCACTCCAGCCTGGGTGACGGAGCGAGACTCCGTCTCAAAAAAAAAAAAAAAAGAAAGAAAGGAAAAAGAAAAGATAAATATTTGCAGTGGTGCATATCCCAATTACCCTAACTTAATTATTCCACATTGTGTACATTGATCAAAATGTCACGACTCCCAAATGCATACAACTATATCAATAAAAATATCAAAAAAGAATGCTTTATAGTAGTTATGTGCTGAGACAATTGCATTTTGGATCGATTGAATTAAATGAAATATATTATTAAAATACATTTTGCCTATTTGTTCTTTTTTTTTTTAATGTGACTACAAGAAAACGTGACATCATGCCTTTGAGGTTCACCTTGGATTTCTGTCCGACACCCTGCCCCTGAGTTTTGTCTTTGACACTCTCTCTCTCTCCCAACTTTTAAGCCCCTTGCTTCTCCCTACGTGAGGCACTTTGTTTCCTCCAGGAGAAGCTCAATCCTGAAATTGTTCCCATCTCATCAAAACTCACCCCCTGCATAAGAGCAGCCCGATTTCTGGTGGTCAGAGGGTGTCCCCAGAAAAGAGGTTTCATTTCAGCAAACAGGTCATCTTCTGCCAAAGGAGACAAAATGTGAATTGGGTGCCTCTGGGTATTGGCCACTAGCTAGACATGGGTACCCACCAGCCAGACATAGGTATCACTAGCCAGATGCGGGTATCCACTAGCCAGGCACAGGTATCACTGGCCAGACACAGGTATCACTAGCCAGACACGGGGTATCACTAGCCAGACACAAGTACCCACTGGCCAGACACGGGTATCCACTAGCCAGGCACAGGTATCACTAGCCAGACATGGGTACCCACTAGCCAGACACCGGTATCACTAGCCAGATGCGGGTACTCACTAGCCAGACATGGATATCCACTAGCCAGGCACAGGTATCACTGGCTAGACACAGGTATCACTAGCCAGACACGAGGTATCACTAGCCAGACATTGGTACCCACTAGCCAGACAGGGATATCCACTAGCCAGATGCGGGTACCCACTAGTCAGACAGGGGTATCCACTAGCCAGGCACAGGTATCCACTAGCCAAACACAGGTATCACCAGCCAGACACAGGTACCCACTAGCCAGACACGGGTACCCACTAGCCAGGCATGGGTATTGAGTGGAGGACTGCTATGGTCTGATTGTTTATGTTCCCCCAAAATGCAAACCCCCAAGGTGATGGTGTTAGGAAATGGGGCCTTTCGGAGGTGATTAGCTTAGGGGGACAGAGCTCTCATGAAAGGGATGAGTGCCCTTATAAAAGAGACCCCATAGAGAGACACCTCACCCCTTCCACCCTGTGAGAAAGTGTGGTTTACGAACCAGCCTGCCCTCACCAGACCCTGAATCTGCTGACGCCTTGATCTTGGACTTCCAGCCTCCAGAATAAACATCTGTTATTTACGAGCCGCCCACCCATCTATGGTGTTTTGTTACAGCAGCCTGAATGGACAAAGGCAGGACGTAAAGCTCCTTGCACAAGTGTATGTATATACACAAGCTGCGTATATTAAGGTGCCCAAGGGAGGTGGGCGGCTGGCCCTGAGCCTCCCCATTCTCCTGGCTCCTGGCTCCTGGTCTCTTGCTCACCAGGCAGGTGGACCCCTCAGCAGAATCCAAACCACCCATTTGATGCCAAGGGACTCCCCAGCCCCCATCACGGCATGGAAAACTACATGCACAAGGGCTTCTGGGGACAATGGATTTAGCCAACAGAATCTTGAAAGAGCGCAGGACTCAACCCCATACTGCCTCTGACCTGCCCCTTCCCTCTCTCTGCCTCAGTTTCTCCATTTGTGCAGGGCAAGAGGTCTGGACCTGATGCTCTCTGAGGTCCTTACTGCCTATTGGATAAAGTATAAAACAAAGAGCCATGGATGGAGTCTGGTGTTTCCCAGGCTGCAGCTGGGCTCTGGGCCAGGGCACACCCTCCGGACTCCATGGGCAAACAGATGGGGACAGTCAAATGGGCCACTTGGCAGAGGCAGGCTAGACAAGGCTGGGCTGGCTGGCACCAGGCAGGATGCCCCCATGGTCAGCCCGGGCAGCAGGGAGTGTCTGCAGGACGGGACATGCTTGGGGGCCCACGCCTCCAACCCCGAGGTTCCCCCACCACCTTCCCTCCCTGGGCTCTCTCTCCAGGAATGAGAGCCTCAGCAGCAGGCAGGCCCATGTCCCTGAGTGACCCCACCTAGGCTCAGGCCCAGGGCTGTGAGGCGCCAGCAGCTCATGGAAGCTCGCAGTGGGGTACAGGTCTGTGGAGACTCCAACCAGCCACAAGCCATCAGCCTCATCCTCAGCCCTCCGTCTTCAGCTCAGATGCCACTGGCTGGGGCCAGGAAACGAAGGGTTGTGGGATGACCTGCCCAGGTGGGAGCTGAGAAAGGCTCTGACACATGGCTGGTGCAGGGTGGCTGCCCTGGGTTCAGGTCCCAGACACTCTGCTTTCCAGCTGCACTATTTTGAACAAGCTATTTCCTCTTCCTGAGCCTCACTTTCTCCATCTGTGAAATGGGCATGATCCCAGTGTCTTGCTCTTAAGAGATGATGTCAGGACTACATAAGGAAATGAAATGCATGAAACTTTTGCTGAAAGACAGCTAAAACAAACTGATGATAAGAAAAGAACAGAAAAAAAACTGATCTGGTCTGTTCTTTCAAGAATTGCACCTCACACTGGGCATCAGGAAAGATACTGATTCGAGAATCCAAGGTTCCTGCTGGAAGGAGACCCTTCCTTGGGCCTGTCAAGAAAGTGACCCGCATTTGCCCCACTGGGCACTCAGCCCCAAAAGGTGGAGACTTAGCATAATGTCAGAACCCAGACATTTTTTTTTCCTATTGGAAATTTTTATTATCTTTAAATCCAATTCTGAGGGTACGAAAGTCACAAATGTAGCCTCTGTGAGTCACGAGCCGTCGGCAGAAAAATGCTATTGAGACTTGAAGAGGGCGGCAGAGATCTCCAAAGATTGGGTGGGTTTCTTTAAGCCTCTCAGAAGTTCTCATTTCACAGCCAGCTGACATGCACATAAAGGAGCAAGACTTTTCCCAAGGAAATGTCTCACACAGCCAGGGCAAGGCTAGTCACCCCCACAGATGCCTGTGATCACTGCATCAGGCCTGCTGTCAGCTGTCCCGCTGGGAGGGCAAGGTGCCCATCCCCTCCTGGCCACCAAGGTGTTTGTTTCTTTGGGTTTCTACCGATGAGCCAGGGGCTGCTGATTTTCTTGGCTGTTTCTAAGGCCAAGAAATGTGTCGGGCAGCCTCGGGTACTGAGGCAGGCCAAAAGAGTTCGGGTGCCAGGCCCCAGACATCCAGCCCAACTGCCCAAGGCTGCTTGCTCCCAGTCACATTAGTGACAGCCCATCCCTCACCATGAGCCCTCGCCAGGCTCTGTGTGAAGGGCCTGATGCATGAGGTCTCATTGCAGCCCCACAGGAACCCCTCAAATTGCTATCTTTATGCCCATTTTGCATATGGGAAAACTGAAGCTCAGAGAGGTGAAATGACATGCCCAAGACCCCACTTCTACAAAGTGGTAGAGCTGGGATTGGAATGCATGTCTTTCTGGCCCAGTATCTGCCCCCTTCACCATGCTTCTGCCTCCTGAACTTAAGTCACTAAGAGTTATTTGCCAGCGACTACTACATGGATAGCCTCCATTAGGAACAGAATGGGGACAAGCATGATCCCAGTCCTGAAGAAACTTGTGGCCTGACTGAATGAATAAGCGAAAAAATGAATAAACAAATGAATGATGTGGAGCCTCTGACAATAAACTGATTGAGTAAGTTTTCCTTCTTTGGAATCCTAGTTGCTCTAAATCGGCAGAATCCTGAAAATATTTAAATGTGCTTTTGGATCTGCCTGAGCCTTAGAAAAGGGCTTACTCAAGTGTCACGTTTTGGGGATAAGGCCCAGAAACAGGGACCAGGAGGCATGAAACAGGGCAAGAGGACAAGCCCATCTGAGGGTGTGTCTTACAGCTGGCGCTGCTGCAGAGTGCACACCTCGCCAGCATGAGTCAGATGGCTGAGAAGCTCCCAAAGGCACTGCAGCAGAGAACCCCAGAGCAGAAAGGACAGACTGTGGCAGCAGGAGTGGGTGTTGTCAGATTTTTGCCCCCATGCAGCCAGCTGTCAGCAGAAGGGCTGCAGTAAGGAAGGTGGAGATGATTTGAGGCAGGACACAGAAAGTGTCCAACACAAGGCCCACTGGTGCATTTGTTCATTCTATCGATGTTTATACTAAACCAGATGTTGGAGACAAATAGATATGAGATGGACTGATGGATGGATGGATGGATGGATGGATGGATGGATGGATGGATGGATGGAAAGGCTGGTGATGGAGCCCAGATTCCTCTGCTATTAATAGCCCAGGCACCTCTGCACTGGGAATGAGTCCAAAAAACAAAAGGAGATCCTGAGCCAGGTTGGAGCTGGAAAACCAACAAGACACCCTGAAACAAATCTTTATGTCTGATGCAATTGGCTTGGGGGCTGGGAGGTGGAAGGTGGCCTTCAGCCAGGAGACATAACTTATCTCCTGATGGGCCTACAGAAAAGCCTCCCAGCTCTGGAGCATGTGGGCCAGGGTTTTAATCTCGGCTCCCTTTCTTTGAGGCTGGCTGCATTACCTTGAGCAAGTCACTTGAATTCTCCAAGTCTTGTTTGCCTCATATATAAATGAGGATAGTAGGAGTTCCTGCCCTTGGCCATCTCTGCTGCAATTGTGTCCCCCTGTGGAGGAACTCTCATCTCGTGGTATACCTGGCAGCCCCTTCTCTGGGTGAAGAAACTGGACCTTGAAGTGCAGAAAGTTCTCTTAAGATCCCAAGATCATATCCCAGACTAGAATATCTGGTCACCAATTCTACCACTAGTCTACAGTGATAGATTAATGGGTAGGCCAGTGGGATTTGGAGCCCCAGCTGTGATTCTGAATATGACATGGGCTACTCCAAGACACACATGGAGTCTTTAAGAATACCCCATGGCCTGCTCCAAGTCTGGATTCATCTGTATTCTATTTACACCTCCAGATGTTGACCATCACTGAGTGGAAGGTGGCTACATCACCAAGGGGCATAATCCAGAGGTGTTCTTAGAAAATGAGATGAGCTGTCCACTTCCCAAATGGAGTATGCCAAAGGCACTTATGGACTGGGAGCCCTGCAAGGGGAACAAGAGCCACTCCCATTAAGGCAGAAAGGTAGGGAGGGAGAGATGAGTTTGTTAATTGATCAATTGATTGGCTATTGAATTGGTTAGTTGGTTATTTAATTGGTTGGTTGGTTAGTTGGTTATTTAATTGGTTAATTAGTTAGTTGGTTGTTAGGTTGTTTAGTTAGTTGCTTATTGAATTGGTTGGCTGATTGGTTAGTTGATTGGTTGGTTGGTTGGTTGATTGGTTGGTTGGTTGGTTGGTTGGTTGGTTGGTTGGTTGGTTGGTTGGTTGGTTATTTAACCGATTGATTGGTTGGTTGGTTGGTTAGTTGGTTGGTTGGTTGGTTGGCTGAATGGTAATTTAACCGATTGGTTGGTTGGTCCAAATGGTAAAAGTGATCGTCATCCCTGGAGTTTGCCAGACTGGCTGCATCATCAATTCATTCCTTCATAGTCAGGCAGTCATTCATTCAATGCATTCTGACTGCCTCCTGGGTGAACATTCTGGTAGCAGTGAAGTCTACCAGCTCCCACCCAGGTACAAGCAGTGTGTGGAGCCACAAAACCAGATTCTGTGAATATAGACAGCCTGTCTGCTGCTTCCCCCTGTGGCCTGGCCCAAGTCACAGGGAGTCAGCCCAAGTGGTCAAGCTCTGAAGCCTTGATCATGTGCCTATCTCTCTGGGGCTCAATTTTTTGGTCCATGAAGAGGGGGCAACATGGGCCTCTCTCTTCCAGGGCAGCTGTAAGGGCAGAGGAGATGGTGCCTGAAGCTCTCTGGGCTCACAGACGAGTGCTCTGGGTGGCAGCAGTGGAAAGGACCTGCTCTACTTGAAGGAAACCTGGAAATTGAGAAATGCTTCCTTCAAAAATGATTTTAGGACTGTTGGCAATGGACCCTGTGTTCATTTCCTGGGGCTGCTGGAAGAGATTGCCACAAACCAGGTGGCTTAAAACAACAGAAATTTGCCCTCTCACACTCCTGGAGGCCAGGATCCTGAAATCAAGTGATACAGTTTGGCTGTATCCCCACCCAAATCTTGAATTGTAGCTCCCATAATCCCCACATGTCCTGGGAGAGACCTAGTGGGAGGTAACTGAATCATGAGGATGGGTCTTTCCTGTGCTCTTGTGTTGGTGAGTAAGTTTCACGAGACCTGATGGTTTTATACAGGGGAATTCCCCTGCACATGCTCTCTCTCACTTGCCTGCCGCCACGTAAGACACGACTTTGCATCTCCTTTGCCTTCCACCATGATTATAAGGCCTCTCCAGCCCCGTGGGACAGTGAGTCCATTAAACCTCTTTTTCTTTATAAATTACCCAGTCTCAGGTATGTCTTTACTAGCAGCATGAGAACAGATTCATACATCCAGTGTGGGCAGAGCATTCCGCATGCCACCTCTGCCCCGCCCCACCCCTGGCAGCTCTTGGGAGGAAACTTCCCGCCTCCTTCAGCTTCTGGGGGCTCTGAGTTCCACGCCTTGTAGCCACATCACCCCCATCCCTGCCTCTGTCTCCACATGGCCTTCTTCTTTGTGGCTGGGTCTTTTCTTTTGTCTTTCCCAAGGACATTTATTGTATTTACTGTCCCCTCCCCCAATATAGGATGACCACATCTCAAGATCCTTACTTAACTATATCTGCAAAGACCCTATTTTCAAATAAGGTTACATTCTGAGGTTCCAGGGGGACATGAATTTTGGCGGGAACACCCACTATAGACACCCAGGCAGGGATGGGCAAGTGACCCACCCAGCGGCCTGGAGCCAGTAGGGGACCACCTACTCTTCCACTAGGCACAGCAAGGTCCCCTCCTGGCCCATCCAGGCTGACAGCCCCAGCCCCCAGCTCCGTGGCTCCTGTTGCTTGTGGGATGCACCATCCCCTCCCAACAGCAGACATGGAGTGGGGCAAACTTGAGTGGTCCTCGGTGGGTGGAAACTGCCAGATGGAGTGAGTATGAGCTACACAGCCACCGACAAGTGGGCATGGTGG
The DNA here is from genome assembly GCF_000001405.40 of Homo sapiens. Lineage (NCBI taxonomy): Eukaryota > Metazoa > Chordata > Mammalia > Primates > Hominidae > Homo > Homo sapiens. The sequence goes on along the minus strand of NT_187582.1, from coordinate 51,166 downwards.
TCCACTGCCAGGCATCAGGAAAGCAAAGTCAGACAGACCTCCAAGCATGGGCAAACCTTGGGGTCAGTCCGTAAAGAGAGGCACGGTTCCTTCAGGTGGGCCTGGTGGCAAGGTGGCCACTGCAGACAGAGAGGAGGGCCCCTGCAGAGCCAATGGGCCATGTGCTCAGAGCTGGTGGTGGGTGCAGTGTCCACACCAGGGAGAGGAAGGGAGATGAGAGCAGAGATGTCACCAGGATGCTAAGCTAAGGCTTTGGGCTTGATCCAGGGATATTCAGGGGAAAGGCAGGCTCAGAGCCTCTCACGCCATCCTTCGGCCACCCCCACTTTGGAGAATGGATGGGGACTAAGGCAGGGAGACCCATCAAGAGGCGATGTCTATGTGAGCCACACTGGGTTGCTGCCAGCACGATCCAGGATCCAGCAGGGATGGCAGGCAGGGAGGAATAATCCCCTCGGGGGACCACAGTCCTGTCTGCATCTGGGGCTGGGGGTCCTGGAGCCCCCAGGGCAGGAGGGCGGCACATGGATCATCTCCTGGAGACAGGCCCTGGCTCGGAGACACGAGCCCCCATCACACGCCGAGCACAGCCACGACAAATAATTCACCGGAGAGACTTCCTCCACAAGGGGGAGAAATGCCCAAAGGTCCCTTTGTCTTAAAACATTAATGTCCAAGTTTAAATTGGGTTGGGGGACGGAGGAGGGGAAGAGGGGAAGGCGGGGGCAGCAGAGCCGTCACTGGGCATCATTCATAAGCCACACACTGGGCCCTTCATCGGGCCCAAAACTCACCCTTGTGGCTACGCAAAGATTTATTGAAGCCTCAGCGTGGGCTCATTTATTTTCCTCCAAACTGATTTGAAAAGACCGTTTGCATCTGCCCTGGAGAAAAAAAAAAAATGTGCATATTTGGCAAACTTTGTTTGAAAAATCTGCTTGTCCCCAAAGAAGTGACTTCGTGTTTGGTCGGGGGCAGGGGCTGTGTGTGTTGGGGAGGGACTGGGGCTTGCTCCTTCCCTGTCATCTGCCGGCCAGGGAAAGCACCCAGAGCATGAACTCAGACATCCTCTCCTGCACACTGGGACCTACAAAGCCGTTACATGCGGGCCCTTTGCTCTGAGACCAAGATCTCCTTGTGACTTTTTCTAGCTCTCTCGGTGGCATCTGTGCCCAGACAGCTACAAAGTGCAAAGAAAAGTGTAAAACAGAGTATGGAAAAATAGACAATAATAAATTCAAATATCAGCTCACTTTGAGAAAGGAGTAAATGCTCCATTTGCCCCCTTCAGAAAAGAGAAATGTCATTCATGAATAAACCTTGACCCTCTTCATAACCTGAATATACAAAGAGCTCTTACAAATCAGTAAGAACAAGAAACACAATAATAGAAAAATGGACAAAAGATGTAACTGGGACATTCATAAAAGGAAAGTGGGATCAGTAAATACAGGTAACAAAATGTTTCACTTACCAATAATCAAACTTAAAGCATTCCTCCAATCAGTGTAAGCATAGACAACTAAAATATCATTTTGCACTTACCAAATTGGCAAAGGTGTGAAAGAACAGTGGTGAAATTTGGAGAGGAGAGGTACAGGTGGTGGGACCTATCATGGTAACCCCTTTGTGGAGAGCTCATTGACAACAGGTATCCACAACTCAGACCTAGGCAAGCTCTTTGACCCAACAACTCCATGGAATTCAGAGGTTTGGCTCCAAGGGGCATGAAGCCTTATCTAAACTCCCAGAGCATGAGACTGGCTCCTTACTGTGGTCTCCAGGCATGCACTTGCCCCTCAGCGGGCAGCAGCCCTGGCCACATGCAGCCTTGCATTCCAGGAAGCTGTGGACACGTGCCTCTCCCCGACAGTGGATGGTGTCTGGGCTCTGGGTCTGGTGGCTGCAGAGACTCCTGTGAGCGGTGGGTGGAAGCCACAGGGAGCTTGCACTCGGGTCTGGAGGAAAGTCCAGGAACCTTGGAGAGCAAGGAGCCCAGCCAGCTGCAGGGAGGCAAGCAGAGCAGGCCTTGGTCTCCTTCGACACAGATGCCTCTGCACAGCCTCACCTAAAGCAAAGCTCATTCCCCCAAGATTACGGCAGCCCCACCTGCCACCCCAGAGTCGTCTACCCCTGCAACAATGACCTCAGAACCTCAGTGCTGGAAGGACCCACAGAGAACACCCATGCCAAGCCCCTGGCTGACAGATGGGGAAATAGAGCAGTGACTCTCTCAAGGTTGTCCCAGCCATGAGTCAGCGTCAGGGGCCTGACAGCCTCAGACTCTCAGACGTTTCCCAAAAGGGATCACCAGAGGCCACGTGTCACCCTGCTGTTCACAGGGGTTCTCAGGCCACCAGCTCCTCCCACAGTGTGGCCCTGCCTATCAATATAAATGTGTCACTCATGAACGTTTATGCTCAAGTCCCCATTGCTTGGGGACACAAGGGAGACTGAAGTAGACAGGCTTCTGCCCCACTAGTGGGAAATGGCACCATGTCCAGGCCGACGGAGCCCAGACAAGGGTCTGCCCTGGTTTGGAAGGTCAGGGAGGACTTCCCTGCAGAGAGGTTGGGGGCTGTGTTTGAAGGAAGAAGAGGGCCTATGTGGGGTCTCCAGGCAATGGAAGACCCTCCTGAGGCGACACCTCCAAGCCAAGCTCTGCAATCTGGAGTGGCTCCCTTACCTGCGACTCCGCGGGCACACCCTCCTGAGCTCCTGCTACGCACCTGTGCATCCAGCTGTCCACAGAGGAGCCTCCCTGCCTTCCGATGGCTGGTGTCACCACAGTCTTGCCATGAGCCTGGCACCAGAGAGCTCTCCACACACCTCTATTCTTACACAGTTCTCATCAGATTCATTTTACAGATGAGAGGACTGAGACACGGAGTGTTGAAGTTTCCCAGGGTCACGCAGCTGGGAAAGGGGAAGTAAGAATTTATCTGGCTCTAAAAGGCATTCTCTCTGCCCTGACGTCTCCTGCTTCATGGTCCCTGCCAGCCCTCCTGGCTGGACCTCTAGGTCTATAGCCTGCAAGTCTCCGGGATCCGATAGGCTCGGAGTGAGGGGGCACCTGTGCCCTTTCTCTTCCCCGCCACCTCGCCACAGGCTCCCCACCCTCCCAGGCCCGCAGAAGGGGGCTCCTTATGGGAAGCCCACCTGGATGCCAGCCATTCAGGGGTGGAGGCTCTTGGGTGCACGCCCAGGAGCCCACGGGTGTGGAGCAGGCCCCGGGTGTCTCGTCAATCCTGTTTCAAGCCATTGGCCTTTCCCATGGAAGATGTTGAGGAAGACAATAAAGACAGCGACCCAGGGCAGAGGTGGGAGGCGGCAGTCAGGAGTGGAGTGGAGAAGGGTCTTGGGTGGGGTGGGGAGCATGGAGGGAAGTGGTTGTCCCTTGGGGTAACAAGCACCCACCTCTGCCAAGCCTGAGAACATGGTCGGCATTTAGTAATTGCTTGGTGATTAAGATTACCCCCTGCCCCGAAAAAGAGGCACATCCACTATGTACGTGATGGGTGTGACTAAGGAAGGTACTTGCTCTCTGATACCTCCTACGGCAGAGGACGATGGGGAGGGCCTGGGCCCAGGTCAGGGGGTGGACACCAGATCCAAAGGCCGGCCCCCAGCACCAGCTGCAGACCTGTATACAGAAGGCACTCAATACTTGCTTGTCAAGTGAACGCGTAAGCTAGGTGCACCTGCCCTTCTTCCCCACAAGGGGATGGCAGTTTATTCACCACTGAGTCCCGAACCCTGTGCCTCACGCAGAGCCTGCACACGGCGGGTGCCCAGGAAGCCCCTCTTGCCCTGTGTCTATGGATCTTATGACTCCAGGCACCAAGACCGGGGGTTGTACCTTCTTTAGGGGCACACGTCCCCCACTGCCCAGAGCCTGAGGCAGAGGCGTGTCCCAGCAGGAGACAGTCGCATTCATTCAACCAGCAGCTCCTGAGGGACAGACAGTCCCCACACCTGATCCACCTGTCTTCCCAGAGTCTGCATACAGGGGTTCCCTGGGAGACCCTGACTGCTGAGTCCTGTTGGAGGGAACAGCCTCCAGTCAGAGCCCCTGACCATGCTGCGGGGTCTGCAGGGACCCCACAGAGTCTCCTTGGGTGGCATGAGAGGGAGAAGACCCCTCCCATAGCAGCGGCTTGCCAGGGGGTCTCTGACACCATCAGCCAAGACACCTGTCTGTGGAGGAGCATGATTATTGTTGGAGAGCATGGAGGGAGCTCAGTCACCAAACAGATGAACAGATAAACGAAATGTGGTCTCTTCACACATTGGAATAGTATTGAGCCTTAAGAAGGAAGGAAGCTCAGACACACACTACAACACAGATGAAGCTAGACGACATTTGCTGGGTGAGATAAGCCAGACATGAAGACACACATGCCGTACAATTCCGCTCACATGAGGTGCCCAGAGAAGTCAAATCCACAGACACAGAAAGAAGAACAGAGGTTACCAGGGGCTGGGAGGAGTTGCTGTTTAATGGGTACCCAGGTTTTGCTGAGGACTCTGGAAATGTTTGGGTATAGGGAGCAGCAGTGGCTATACCTCATCATGAATGGATGAAATGCCACAGAGTTGTACACTCACAACTGGCTAGAATGATAAATATTATGTTATATTTTACCACAATTTAAAAAATAATAGTGGCTGGTCATGATGGCCCACACAGGTAATCTTAGCACTTTGGGAGGCCAAGGCAGGCAGATCACCAGAGGTCAGGAGTTCAAGACCAGCCTGGTCAACATGGTGAAACCCCGTCTCTATTAAAAACACAAAAAATTAGCTGGGTGTGGTGGCTGGCGCCTGTAGTCCCAGCTACTCTGGAGGCTGAGGCAGCAGAATCTCTTGAACCCCGGAGGCGGAGGCTGCAGTGAGCCGAGACTGCGCCACTGCACTCCAGCCTGGGCAGCAGAGTGAAACTCAGTCTCAAAAAATAAATAAATAATAAAACTAGTAAGGCAGGTGTGGCCTCAAACCAGGCTTCACTAGGTAGGAGCTGTGGGGCTGTGGGCAAGTCACTCAACCTCTCTGTTTCCTGCATGTAGCATGAACATCACAGCAGCGCCTCCCTCCGGGGCACCTGTGGGAGTCACCTGCACAGGCGTGTGCCAAAAATCACACATGCCATCCGTCGGATGACAGTGGCGGGCCCTCACTGGAGCCAGAAAGACTGGGTGAGCCTAGATTTGGACTCCCAGGCTCACAGTTCAGTCCTGACGTCACCTCTCAGCTTGTGCCTCTGTGCCTGGGGCTGCAGTTTTCTTATCTGTCCAAGGGCAGGCTTAGCACCTGTCCCATCACCTCACAGGGATGGCAGGAGGTGCCGGGCAGGCTGGTTTCATAAGAAGTTCCAAGACCAGGGACAGCACCTGCCTTATGGGCACACGTGCCCCACTGCCCAGAGAGCCAAAAGCAGAGACGCCTCCCAGCAGGTTGTGTCCACGTTCATATTTGTCTGACCAGCAGCTCCTGACGGACAGGCAGGCCCCACACTTGATTCACCTGTTTTTCCCGCCCCCATTGTAGAGTGAGTGCATGAGCAAACACCTCTTTTAGCTCAATACATTCTGTCCCCAAACTCGGAAATGCTGTGCCATTCAGATGGAAGCACAGTGCTTCAGAAGAGCAGATTCCTTCTCTCAACCAGGAAGGTGGGCCGTGAAAGGGCACAGAAGGAAATGTTTTGTGTGGCTCCCGAACCCCATAACAGGCCAAGAGAAGAAACAGGGAGAAAGAGACAGACAGAGGGAGACAGGGTGATAAAAGGAAAAGGAGGAGAAAGGAAAGAAAGAAGAAGAAAAAAGGAGAGGCCGGGCATGGTGACTCACACCTGTAATCTCAACACTTTGGGAGGCCGAGGTGTGTGGATCACTTGAGGCCAGGAGTTTGTTACCGGCCTGGGCAAAATGGCAAAACTCCATCTCTACTAAAACTACAAAAAAATTAGCTGGGCGTGACGATGGGCGCCTGTGGTCCCAGCTACTCAGGAGGCTGTGGCAAGAGAATCGCTGGAACCCAGGAGGCAGAGGTTGCAGTGAACAGAGATTGCACCCCTGCACTCCAGCCTGGACCACAGAGCGAGACCCTGTCTCAAAAAAAGGAAGGAAGGGAGGGAGGGAGGGAGGGAGGGAGGGAGGAAGGAAGGAAGGAAGGAAGGAAGGAAGGAAGGAAGGAAGGAAGGAAGGAAGGAAGGAAGGAAGGCAGGCAGGCAGGCAGGCAGGCAGGCAGGCAGGCAGAAAGACGGAAAGAAAGGAGGAGAAAGAGAGGGAGTTAGAGAAATCAGAATGAGCTAAAGACCCACCCATCAACATGTGTTTCCCTGTGTTATTAAAACACTTTGTCTTTACAACTCAGAAAATTAAAAAAACTCTGCCAGACCCAGGCTCTCCACATCAGTATTCATGACATCTGTCTTCTCCTATAAAACTCTCTGAATGAAGCCTCCCCTAGTAGAAAACGACTCTCTCCTCTCTGCCCGCTCTTTCTTTCCCCTTCAAAACAGATTGCGAGACAGATGATTGCATTGTTTTGTCCGATTTCCATCTGAAAACTCCCCTCCGTGTTGGCCACTGGGCGCCCCTATTAAGGCCCGGGCACTGAGGGGCCACGTGGGGTGGCCGAGCCTCTGTCGCCCGCTCCCTGGGGCCTTTCCATCGGAAGAGGAAAAAGGACCCAGCAGACAAAGGTGCGGGACATAAATTAAGCCCGAGCTTTTTAAGTTCAAACTGAATTTTCTTTATTTTTTCACAGCTGTCAGAGGAATCGGGTAGAACTCCAGTAACGCATGTTTAATGTATTAAAAAGTGGGGGGGAAGCAAACCGTCCACTCCGAATGTTCCGTCCGCCGACTTGCATTGGGAACATTATTTCGGGCCAGTGAACTCCGAGCAAGTCAAGTGTAGAGACATGGACAGGGGCCAGGGACCCCCCACCAGAGGCTGTCATATCTACTGAAAGCCCACTTGTCATAGCTGGACGGGGGCAGGAGGGGGACAAACGTCTCAAAGTGCTGGAGACTGCCGCCAAGTCGGCTGGCTTCACCGAGGCTGGCTGGCTGGAGCTGGACAGCCCACGAGGCCTTATGGACCACCATACCATCCCAGCCAAGCTGCGGCTGGCCACCTCACTCCAGGCCCTTCCTTGGGCCCATGGGGAGGGAGGGCTCTCTGGAACCCAGGCCTGGTGACGCAGCCAAGAGAGCGAGCTTTATACATAAGCGCCAAAGGTCGCTATGGTTAGGTCAAAAGACATGATGGGTAAACTGAGGCAGGGAGTCCAAGGGCTTCCACCCAGCCGGGGTCCTTCTCCCTGCGCAGCGTGGCCCAGAAGGAGCAGGAGAGGACGCGAGGCAGATTGGAGTCCCGGCCATGGCTGAGCAGACATGTGACCCTGAGCAAGTTGCCAGGTGACCAAGCTCGCCTGTGCCTCATGTTTGAGCTTTGAGTGAGGAGCCCACACTGCTGGCCGTGTGAGCTGTCATCGGCCCTGCTACTGTCATGACCACCACGAGGCCTCAGGAAAAGAGGAAAAGAGGACGGTGTGCCTTCCTCCCTTGGCAGCCGGGACACACCCCACCCACCAGTCCTCACCAAGTGCACGGCCCACAGGGCTCCAAATTCAGCCTTTTCCCAGGCCAGTGACGAAACCCCGGGGGCGGGGGGAGAAAAACAGCGTCCCTTCAATAGCACGTGTTCACCACCCCTTCCTCAACACCACATCCCCCGATGAATCACTGTCTGGGAGAGGGGTTCGCTCCAGCCAAGGTCAAGGCAGGTTTCCCAACCAGACTGGCTGAGTGAGTGCCCCGCAACATGGCCAGGTCTGATTCTTGCGCCGACAAAAGCTGACCCTCAGCGAACACGAACAGCTTCTCCAGCACTGACTTACTCAAGAAAGGTCATCTCCTCACCCCCTTTCCAGATACAGAAGCTGGGGCTTGAAGAAACTCCGTGGCTGACCCAGGAGCCAGGGTTTAGCTCTGAGGGTATTTCCTCTGCGTGTCTCACCCACCGTAAGCGGGCCGGAACCATCTGCCCTGGACGCCTGTGCCATCGGAAGCCACTCCTTCTGCTGGTCATTCACTAAGTCCCTCCAAGGCCCTGCTGCTCTCCCTCCACCCTCCAGTAAGCAGCCCAGGTCAAACAGAGCAGGGTGGAGATGGAGGTCCCCCCTGCCACCCGAGCCCGCCAAGGCCATGAGGACTCTGCCACACCTTCCCACCTTGCATCTCCAGGCAGGATGGTATCTGGGGCCTCCGCCGTGCACACCCAGCCCCGCTCCCAGGCACCCCACAGCAGTCAGACTTGGACCCGTTGAAATCTACTCATGCCAGTCAGATTAAACAGTGTCCCCCCAACGGGGCCCCATGACACAACCGTCAAGGCCTGTTCACTCAGGGAGGAGATGACCTCTGCTCCTGCCTGCACAGACCCAGAGGAACAGAGCTCCTCCACCCAGCCCCGGGCAGCCATGAGTCCGGGCCTCCCTGAGAGGTGCTGGGTGGGCCCCACCCCCCAGCACCATCCTCCCACCTGAGATCCCTTTGGACCCACGCGCCTAGGACTCAGACCAAGGGCAACGTTTCTAAAAGAACCCTGGACACTGCTGTGCCCTGGCCTCAGGTGCAACCTCGAGCACATCCTGGCTCCTTCTGGGCCTCAGTTTTACTGACTGTAAAACGGAACAAACATCTCCGGTGCCCCCCACCCCATAGGGTCACAGTGATTCTAAATGAGCAAAGTAGAGGTCCCTAGAAAATCATCAGTCATGACCTGGCTGCTGTCCTGAACACTCACCCGGGAGCCCAGAGAGAAAAGGCCAGGGTGCCCTGGGCTGAGTATTCCCGCTCCATGTCCTGAGGGCAGCAGAGCCCCAGCTTCCCAGGGACCCCAAAAACACCCTTCTTTCTGGGCCTCTGTGTCAGCATCTGTGCATTGAGGGGTCATTTCTAAGGTTCTTCCAGTTTTAACCCTTTTCTTGTTTAGGGGGAAAAAAAAGTGCGGCTCGAAGCCAGCACTCATTTAATTTTACATAAACACACTTCTTGAGGCTGAAGCAAATCTGACTGCTTTTCAATGAGAAAATAAAACATAAAAACTGTTCTTGGAGTCATTTCTAAACAGAACTAACATCAGACTCGCGTGAATCATCAGAATCGTCTATTTTGGAAAAAACGGATTCGTCAAATCAATCTTTGGCCAACAAACATCCGAGAACAACCACGCGTAGGAATTCTGTGTTTTCTAGGATGTGACATTTTCAGCGATCGAGAATGACTCTATTTTGTAAATGGAAATGCCGCTACTAGAAACAGAATGCTATGAGTAGGATATGACGTCTTTTGTTTCCAAAGTCAATATACTAGAGCGATGCAAAAATAATAATAAAATCGAGCTATTTCGTGGCGGAGTTATCTCGGGGTAAACACTGCAGTCGCAAGCCCCTGGTGAGTACTCTCAGGACAAATGGGAAAAGGCTTAAACTCTGTTTTCCTCTGACTCAAAACCCACAGGGTCCCCAAAGTGGCCACTTGCTGCTGCTGAGGGTCGCAGCTGGTTCCACCTCAACCTCTTTGACGCGAATGCACCCCGGGGCAGCTCACACCCCTGTGGTCGTCCTCCGAATGCCAGGCAGTCTCAGTGAGGAGCTTAGGCCAGCAGCTCGCAACGGGCAGGCAGCATCTCAAAGAAAACGCCCACAGTGCATGGGTGCCTGCCACGCTCAGAGGCCCCTGATGGAGCTGCCACAGGGACTGGGCAGTGTTCACAGAGCCTGGACCTAGTTCAGCTTAGAGACCAGGAGCTGGGGGGAAAACACCAACCCCCGGGGCACCGACAGCCTGAAACCATCAGGAGCAAAAGCCACACACAGCGGGGAGAAGAACTACCTGGACCCACCAGAGCCCCTCTTGGGAGGTTGAACTCAAGACGGCAGGAGCAAGAGCCGCCAGGGAAGGCGCCCCGACGGAGGGCGGGTCACCGGCTCTGTTACCGTCCACACTGCCATGTCCAGGGTGGTCAGCGCCGGCCCAGCCTGGTGTTGCACATCAGGAGAGAGAAAGGCTGGGTGCAATGACAGGTCTGCCTGAGGGTGAGAGGGGGCCCCCTGCTCAGTGAAATGCCAGCCAGAGGGGGTGAGAGGGAACCCTCGGTTTGGTGAAATGCCAGCCAGAGGGGGTGAGAGGGAGTCCTCCATTCGGTGAAATGACAGCACTGTCTGAATATGGCCTGCTTGATGGGCAGGGCACTGTGGGAAACTGTCCGTGGCTTTCTGCCAATCCCCCCACTTTACAGATGAGGACAGCGCAGCTCATGGAGGGGAGGTTGGCTGAAATCTCAGAGCCAGTAGAGCTAGGGACTGTGAGAGTCAAGTCCCCGCCACTCACCCTGCCCTGCACAAGCTCCTGCAGTACAAGGAGGACCAGGGACACCAGAGGCAGGCAGAGAGACGATTATCATAGGCTTGAGCACAGAGTCACCCCAGCACAGGGAACCAGGGCAAGGCAGGGCATAGTTCCAGTTGAGGAGCCACTTGGACCACCTGCCAGGCCCCTAGGTGGTCCTCCTCCCCAGACTGGCTCAGCTGTGAGGCTGCCTTAGGTGTCTGAGAAGCCAACCTTGAACTCCGCAGCTCCATGTATGGCTCCGCAATGAAGCAGGTGACAGCAAGCACCCAACCTTGGTGAGCCTCAGACCTCCCCCCAGGTAACCCCTGGCTCCCTCAGGGCTGCGGGCACCTTCTCTACAGCTAGGGACTTCTCCAGGCCTCTCTCACCTGCCTCACGCTGGCTCAACCTGCAGCCTGGCTTTGGACATCATTCTCCCGGGAAGCATTCCCTGGCCCCTGAGAGCAGGACATGGGCCTCCTCTGGACTCCCCTACCACCTTCCCTGCCACCTAGAGGAGCCACTTCTGCCCTCCATGTTCCCTTCCCCTTTGCAGGACAAGGGCAGAGACTGTGTCTGCTTCTCCCCTAGGGCCTAGAACAGTCTCAAAGACCCAGCCGACCAAGGCACATTCCCAGATCCCAGAGCCAGCAGGCTGAGGAAGGACACAGCCTGCAGATGAGTGGACAGTAGAAAAGGCCCAAGTTGTGAGGTCTTGCAGACCCACCTTGGGGTCTGAGGAGTTTGAGGAGGTATAGTCAAGTCATGTGCCTTTCAGGGGTCTGTGTCCTCATCTGTGGTCAAGATAGCAATGCCTGTTCCCAGCAGATCATAAGTCACATGAATGACGTTTGCAAAAATCCCCAGCAAAGTGCCTGGCACAAGTATGCACCCCGCCAAACACGTATGCACACATGTGCACAGACATGGGACAGACATGGGCATGCACACACAAATACACTTGTGTACACATGCAGGTATGTACACCTGCCCAGACACACGTGTGTGCACACAAACGCACACACAACATGAACACATTTGCAGTGTATGTGTGTGTGCACGCATGTATAGCCACACACATGTGCACATATACATGCCTACAAAAACACACATGCACATATGCACACACACATATGCACACACACACACACGGACACACGCACACCCATTAGCTACTGCTCCTCCCCAGGATGAGAGAGCCCTTGCTGCGCTCATCCACTGCTTTCAGCTTATGGTGTGGGGGTTCTCCCAGGGCAAGTCTCTTTGCAGAGAAAAGACAAATCCAGGGCTCACCCCTTGTCCTCCTGAGCTGATGCCCTTCCTCCAGAAAACTCCGCCTGTGCCCCCAGCTCAAGCGAGGATGTCAGCTCAGATTTGGGCATTTCCTAGGGCAGGTCCGGCTGTAAAATCTGACACTCAGAGTCCCGGTGCCATTGGAGGCCAGAGACGTTAATTGCTTTTCTGAATGACGCTTTTAGGGGCTGAGGGCAGAACTGGGCTGGGGCTGTCAGGCCTGAATGGAGCCAGCAGAATCAGCTCCTTGCGTCCTCCCTGGAGAACAACAAGAGGGCCTCCAGCCCAAGCCTCTCCTGCCGCGTGCTGACCGGTGCCCTGCCTCCCTGCCGGGAGACCTCCGCGGAAGGCCCCTGCGCCCTGAGACAATAGCAGCACCTGCCAGGCCGTGCTCTCCCTGGGGAGCCCTGGCCCGTGCCGGAGGCCGGGCGCCTGGCATGAGGCCACCATTGTTTGCCTCCCTCCCTCTCCAGGACTCCTCCACAAAGTGACAGGGCAGCCCCCGAAGGTCACCTCTGGGGCACTCCCGGCGGCTCCCCGGCATCTGTCTCAGACGGTGGGCAGCAGGAGAGGGGCCGGCCCAGGCCTATTGTTTGGGCCCAGAGCCGCTCCCACCCGACGGGAGAGGGGCCCATTGTCCCAGAGCAATCTGCCTCACTCCTGCCTCCCCATTTTCTCCAAGAAAAAGGGGAACCACGCATGCAGCACACAGCCGGGAGCCCTCTGTCAGATCTGACTCCCGGCGCCCCTGCTCCCCACCAGGGGGCTGCTGCCCTTCACCCCTCACTCCTCCCTTGCCATACTCATTTTTAAAGTTTGAAAACTTGAGTCCGGGTCTCTGGAGCCCTTCGCAGTTCCTGCTGAGGGTCTTCCAGCTTCCAAAGCGGGCATCCAAGCACCAAAATATGTTTGAACAGGGACACTGCAGGACACGCCTTTTTATTCCCACCTGATATGATGTCATGCTTCCCTCACCCACCTTCCTGCCTCTCCAGATTGCCCACGGGCAAGCTGCTGATTTCTTTTGTCAGGCTGGAAGGCCCTAAGAGGGGAACAGCAAAAGCTGTTTCCTTGTAAGTCTTGAAACTTCCATTGCAGCCAAAAAAAACAAAAAACAAAAAAAAAAAAAACCCTTCATTTTTTCACAAATGTTGTTAACAAGGAGATTAGACAATCAAGGAAATAATTTGGCCTCCATAGTCCTCAAATGATATCCACCTACATAATCCCAGGCCAATGCTTGAGGCTTTTGGACACAGACTTAGTCTGGTGTTTCAGAGCCATCCTAAAAGTCTGGCAGCAAGAAAAAAACCAAGGTGAGTTATTTCTACTCCCAGCTCAGGGGGTCCTCTGCAGCCAGCACCACCACGGGCAAGAGGTAAAAAGCCCAAGACTAAAGGCCGGCCCAGCCGCACTGAGATGCTTGTGTTCCTTCAAGTCTTGCTCGTATGAATCTTAATTAAACACAGCGAGGAAAGTTACTAAAGTTAGTTAATGAAAGGCAGGATTGGACAGGGGCTGTGAAGCAAGAGAGGATCTGTGCTGCTTGAATCTTGGGATAAAAATTAAAAGGCAGTGTTCCCCTGAAAGCATCACATGCTCACTATGGGGAAAGCCCCAAGGGAAACCACGCCTCCACACCCCAACCGTGAGGGGCCCTTGCCAAAGTCCTGAACGACAGAGCCCAGTTTCTCCCCTTCTCTCCAGGACCCAGCACAGGGCCCACCCAGAGCAAGTGCTTGGTTGTTACTTGGAAGAAGGGATGGAGACATGGAGGGATAGAAGGATGCAGTGATAGAGCAATGGTGAGATGGAGGGATGGAGAAATGAGAGACGGATGCATGGAGAGATAGGAGATGGATGGATGGATGGATGGATGGATGGATGGATGGGTGGGTGGATGGATGAATAAATGGAGGATCAATGAGTGGATGGATGGAGATATGGATGGATGATGGGTGGAGGGATGATACATGAATGGAGAGATGGAGGGATGGAGAGACTGCTGGAGGGATGGAAACATGGACGAATTAATGGAAGGACAACTGATGAATGGATGTATGGAGGGGTGGAGAGATGGATAGATGAGTGGATGGATGGATGAAGAGATAGAGAGATGGATGGATGGATAAATGGATAAATGAATAAAGGATAGATGAATGGATGGATGGAGAAGTGGATGGATAATAGGTGGATGGAAGGATGAAGAGATTGATGGATGAATGGAGGGATAGAGAGATTGATGGATGATGGATGGATGAAGGGGATGGATGAAGGGATGAATGGATTAGGAAGGGATGGAGAGACGGATGGATAGATGGAGAGATGGAAGGATGAAGGTATGGACAGCAAGCACACAAAGGTCACAAATTGCTCATTTGTGTCCTCTCCTTTGAGGAACATCTACAAGATAGGCTCACCCTATCTAAGCCTCAGCCCTGAGGAAGGCCAACCACAGTCAGCCGGCCATGTTGGTGGCCTTCTTCCCTAATGGCTCCCTCCTGTTCTGGTCTTTTGTAGACAGAGAACCTCCTTGCAATCAGACTCACACACAGCATCTAGCAGACGGCCAGTTCCCCACCTCTGGGCACGTCCTCCTTCCCTTGCCCGGAGAGCCCCCGTCTTATCCAGGCATTATCTGCTCTGTGCTTCACCAGCCCCTCTCCAGCCCAGAGCAAAGGCTGCTCAGGCTTCACCCTCTCCTGGCAGCTCCCGTCTGTTGCTGGAGATTGGTGTAGACATGACGCATGGGACACACCCTGACCAGTGAGGCACAGGGAAGACTGCTGAAACTGGGGGCTGCTCCCGGAAAAGGGTTTCTTGCTAACAGAGGGGAACACCACAGGGAAGTGCCCCTTCCCACTTGGATGTTGTCCCGTAGGGACGTGATGCTAGAAGAAGCTGCCACCATCTTGCAGCTGAGGAGTCACCCAGATCACTGATGTCATGAGTGCTTGGATGAAGCTGCCCTGGAGCCATCCTCATCCAGACTTATTGAATCCTTTCTGGTTGGGTTTCTGTGCTATGAGGTCAGGAGCACATATCTAGTGATGGGGTCTCACTATGTTGCCCAGGCTGGTCTCAAATTCTTGGCCTCAAGTGCTTCTCTCACCTCAGCCTCCCAAAACCTTGGGATCACAGGCATGAGCCACTGTGCACAGTCCCTGAGCAAGTATCCAAATGGCCCATCATTTCCCATCAACCCCAAGAAGTCAGCACTGATTAACATTCCTGAGTTAATGAGGAAACAAAGACTAGCAGAAGCTTCTGGACCCACCCTGCTCTACCTGCCAGAGAGCTCGACTGCTCCAGGGTACCCGGGGTGAGCCCAGCTCCATCTTCCCTGAGGCCACCCAGCCTGCGAGGTGCCAGCGATGTCCCTGTAACTATGGCTGGATGTTAAAGGCATAATACAAAGTGAAAGAAGCCACACTGAAGAGACTGCCAACTGCATGGGTCTATTGATGCGATTCTAGAAAAGGCAGAGCTATGAGGACCAAAAACGGATCCACCACTGGGGGGCTGGGGTGGGAGGACGCACGAGGGAGCTTTGGAGGTGATAGAAATCTTCCGTATCTTGATTACGAGGGTGTCTGTGACTACTTGCATTTGTCAAAATTCACCAAAGCATACACCTTGAAAGGATGGATGTTACCGCATGTAAATTATCCCTCCATTGGCCTGGCTTCCTAACATGCTCCCTTGGCTAGGTTGGGGTTTCTGGGGCCATGACCTGAGCATCCCAGGAAGAGCCAATCCCAGGAAAAGCTCATCCAGGGGACACTTTTCTTGATTAACGAATCTCTTCCCTAAAAATGAAATATTCGTGGAAGCCCAGAGCACAAAAAGGACCAAAGCAAAGACACCTTCTCCTCCAACCAAAGGCATCCTTGAAAAGTCCTGGGGTGCCCCGGACCATGTATGCTAGTCAAGGGCAGGTTCCACCCAACCAGAGAGGCTGGCAGAGTAGCCCCTCCAGCGGTGAGAGGACCCCCCCCGCCCTGCTGGATCCATGAACCCAAGCATAGGAGGGGCCTAGGCCACTACCCGACACAAGAAGGGGGCTGTGCTGTGGAGATCACGCACAGGCAGGGGCCACCGGGAGTGGAAGGCACAGCACTGAGCCTGGAGCACCGTCAAAAGAGAGGCTTGGGCCCAATCAGTAGCTCCCCAGCAGCCTTCTGGAGAGGCGGCCACGCACACGGGCTTCCAGGACCCAAACCCCACCACTCCTCCTGCTCCGGCCGGGCCACCCTGGGCCCGTCCCTCTGCTGCTCTGCGCCTAGGTTCCCTCAAGTGTGAAATGGCAATGGTAACAGCACCTACCTCACTTGGCCTGTGCCTGTTAAACAGGATAACGAGCACAACCATCCAGGCGTTAACAACTCACTGAACACCCAGGCGGCTGTCCTCGCTGTCACCTCATGGCGAACAGGAGCTGGGGGTGAGCAAGGGGCCACGTGCACCCCCCACCAACCTCCCCCTTCAGCCCCAGCAGGCTCATCTGGTTTCTATCCGAGGTCTCCATGCGATTGGGCATGAAAGGAAAGCGCTGGTGCTCAATGAAGTTTGAAAACTCCGGTCTCTGTGGCCCCTCCGCCGGCCGCCTGGGACCCTGACCACCACTTGCCTCAGGCCTGGAAACAGGCCTAACGCTGTCCAGGCAAGCAGAATCAAAGGCCCTCTGTCGAGCGCACATTTTCCAAGCGCTTGGAGGGTCTGTGAGGTCCTGGGAGGTGGGGAGGACGCGAGGTTATAATTGGCCTCCCCTGGGCCAACAGTACTTCTTAAGAAGGCGCCGCACAAAGAGTGTCCAATTTCCCAACCCGGCAGACCGTGGGTTTAATTAAGGTCCATAAAAATGTAGCCGGCAAAGTGTAAGAGGTATTGCATCTTTCCCAGTCAATATGGGCATGTGTCTTACCTGGAAAAAGTGGTTTATGCAGAAAGAATTTCCCAAATGGGTTCCATATGCCTGCTTTCCCCCATAGCGGGGCCTTCCACCGGGGCCGGGGTTGGGGGCTGGGACATGGGCCCTCCTCCCAGCACGGCCTCCTCGCTCACCCTCTGCCGGCTGCCGCTGTTTAAACAGAAGACGTCATGGCGAGTGATATACGGTGGATTCCAAAGATTGTTTCATCCAGGGGAAATTGCTCCTGGAGCCAGCTCCATCCCAGGTAAGCCACAGAGACCTACTGTGAAGTGAACTGTTCACCCTCCCGCAGGCCCTGAAGCAGGAAGTGCTCCTCATGCCCACTGCTTACTGTCAGTTACTCCATGGCCCAACAAGGGCGCCAGCACAGGGCCAGGCACTCGGGACCCCAGAGATGGAAGGGACCACAGGGGTGTCTGGCTAGCGTTCCCCATCACACTTTCCAGATGGGACCACTGAGTTCCAGGGAGGGGACACAACTAGCCCGGGACAACGGATCTTGGAAGCCGTAAGAGTGGCATTGATTCGGGGTACCATGGAAGTCAAAAGGTAGTCAGGAGAGGCAGAGAGGAGAGAGGGGGAGCGAGAGGGCATCTTTAACGCCTGTTCCCAATGCTAGATGCAACCCCAGATGTCCTAGTTATCTGAGCCAATATAAATTCTCTGCCCCTCATGATGGTGGCTCCCCCCGTCTCTTCATCCACATGTCACCTCCTCCAAGGAGCCTACTGGGCTGCCCCACACTTCACACAACTCTCCAGCTCCTCCCTCTGAAATGTTACTTTGCTCATGGGTCGGTTAACTTACCCACTGGCTATTGCCATCAGTAGTACTGATTCTCAGGAGAGCAGGAACCATACTTGTCTTGTTCATTGTGGTATCCCCATGGCTGGGACAGATCTAAGCATATAACAAGTGCTAAATGATGACGATTTATTCATCATTATCACCACCATCACCATCACCACTATTGCCATATCATCATCATCACCATCGTCATCACAATCACTACCACCACCACTACCCCATCATCATCATCATCACCATCATCATCACCACTGCCACCACCATCATCACCATCACCACCATCACCATCATCATCATCACCATCATCACCATCACCACCATCACCATCACCATCATCATCACCACTGCCACCACCATCATCATCACCATCACCATCATCATCATCATCATCACCATCACCATTATCATCATCATCACCACCACTGCCACCACCATCATCATCATCATCATCATCATCATCACCATCAGGATCAGCATCAGCAGAATCATGATCATCATCACCATCATCGCCATCAGCAGTGATCATTGTCATCAGGACCACTGGCATCACCAGAATCATCATCAGCATCATCACCATCACCATCACCAGTATCAGCATCATCATCACCACTGCCATCACCATCATCATCACCATCACCACCATCACCATCACCAGTATCACCATCATCATCACCACTGCCACCACTACCATCATCACCATCACCATCACCATCATCATCATCATCATGACCATCATCATCATCATCACCACGTTTACCACCATCATGATCACCACCATCAACACTATCACCATCAACACCACCATTCTCCTCATAGCATCATCATCATTATCACTACCACCACCACCATCACAGCACCAGTTCAATTTAACCCCCTTTGTGTACCAGTCAGGGACTATTCCAGGTTATCTATATGGATTAACCAATTTCATGCCCCAGCCCTGTGAGGTAGGACTGTTACTATCCCATTAGTATCCCATGGGGCTCTAGGCTTAGAAACTTTCCTAGAGCACCATGACTCAAAAAGGCCAGAGCTGGAATATGGCCCTGGAAACAGCCTGTGGACTGATGGACCAGCTCTGAGCAGCACAGGGCGGCCCTCTGCCCTCACACCTCATTTCATCTCAAGGTACCTGGCAAAGCAACTCTGGTCATTCCTGCTCTGCCAAGGAAGAAACCAGGGCTAGAGGAGGTCCAGCTACTCACCCATGGTTACCAAGTTGCATGGCTTCCACTGGCCACATGCCCCCTGATGATGAGATGCCAGCACCGTGGTCTCTGTGAAGAGGAGCAGCTGACCACCCGGGGCTTCAGGGCCTGGACCTTCTGACAGCTGCCCCCAGCCACCCCTCCACACCCCAGTTCTTCTCTTGCTCTCAGTCTGTCTTGCACACACAGCTGATCCTGCCTTCCATGGCCTCACTCCAGCCCTGATGAACCCTGATTTTGGCTCTGAAAGGAGGGGCTTTATCTGCTTGGCAGATAAACCCATGAGGCCTCTAGGATGAATCTCCCTCACCGACCCTCACTCCTTCCTTCACCCATCCCTCCACCCTGCTGACTCACACCAACAGGAATCTGCAGGCTCAGGAATCATCCAGCAGGACTGAAATATTGGGGAGAGTTCTGGCTGAAGTCCCTAAGGAAGCTGTGACTTCAGGATTTGGCGGGGAGGGGCTTTCAGGTAAGTATTTTGTGTGTCTCTCACAGAAAGAGCCTTCAACCAACATTTGGAGTGCTGAACCAAATTGAATTCAATTCTTTCTCCACCTCTGATCTGCCTCCGTTTCCCATTTATACCAAGTGATTGGGCGGCACCACCACACAGGCCCCACCAGGGTTTGGAGGGATCTGTCATTGCATGGCTCCGGGTGTAATTCTCAAATGGTCCCAAGAACCCCTTCAAATATTTGAAACAGAAATCTGCGGGGAAGGTATGTGGCAAAGTTTTCAAAGCAGGCCACTCCGATCCTTTCTGCAGGATTTCCAGGCAGCCTGCCAGCCTCCCTTTCCAATTAAATGCCCCATTTGGCTGGTGGGTGGGCCTCTGGGCTGGAAGAGAGAGATGCCTGCTACCACCCCTGTCTGGACATAATTTGGGAGACAGGAGATTTCATGAGCCAGGGGAGAGAAGACACCTGAGATATGATCAGGATAGACGCATCCCCCGACCAGCTCCTCAGGAAGAAAGAGCCCCATGTGTCCACCAGCCCAAGGTCTCACACAAAGGACCCACTCTGTGAATGCCTGGGGATTGGGGGAAGTAAGAGGGGAGGAGGGACAGAGACTCCTGGCGGAGCCAAGGAGAGTGTGGACCCTTCAGCTCTGGGACACCTTGCCCAAGACAAAAAGGTGGCTCAGAGCCGTAGCTGGCCTTGGGCTATGTTGTAAACTGAGAGTCAGGAGCAGTGAAAATGCAATGATCAGAACAAATAATATTACAGAGAACTCTACCTGGCTAAGGCATCAGGACGCATCTAGGAGGAGCTGTGGGTTGACAGGGAAGCCCAGGAGGGCCTGCAAAGGAGGCTGTGGACCCCATGTGTGCACACACACATGTGCATGTGTTTGTGGAAGTTTGCACATACATGTGCAAGTTGAGACGAGCCTTTGAAGAAAAAAATAATAATGAAATGCCTATGAGCAAAGCCAGGTGCCAAGAAAAGAAGCAGAAAGGAAGATGAAAGGCAGGAGTCCCCGCCTCCCCAGCCTCCGGAAGCTTCCACGGGGCGAGAGGCCTCCTGGTGTGGCTCTCATTTTCAGAGGCCCGGCCGCCTGACCGCCGCAATGCTGGGGCCACGTGGCCGAGGGGACACATGGAGCAGGGGCCAGTGACCCAGAGGAGGTGATCTTGGCCACGATCTGATTACCAGATGGGTCCTTTCCCACTCCCTAGAAAACAGGAAATCCATCTGAAAGGCAAGACAAATCGCCGCCCCTGCCTCCCGCCCATCTGCCATGATATGTGAACATGCAGGCTGTCAGCAGCTCCAGCCCGTGATTGATTCCCGGTATTTATAGGCCGGGGTCTATTATCAGCTGTGCTATCAAAGGCTTAGCCAGGCTGGGCTGACCCCACCGGCTATTTCAATATGCCACTCCTTTGAGACAGCTCTAACTCTTTAATTCAATAGCAATACTATTTCATGTCAGGCCCAAAGAGAGAGTTTCCTGTTTTGCAAAGGATTTGTGCCTGATTTCAAGGCAAATTAAAGACAGCTTGGAAATGTCACCTGCACTCAAGGTCAAGGGCGCTACAGCCTCTACTCTCAGCCCAGGGTTTCACCTGCAAGGCTGCACCCAAGGCTCAGACACTGTTGAGAGGTAGAGAAACAGGATGCCCATCCTCATCCCAGTTTGCCACTAAAGTGCAGTGTGGGCTGGGCATGGTGGCTCATGCCTGTAATCCCAGCACTTTGGGAGGCCGAGGTGGGTGGATCACCTGAGATCAGGAGTTTGAGACCAGCCTGACCAACATGGAGAAACCCCGTCTCTACTAGAAATACAAAATTAGCCAGCCGTGATAGCGCATGCCTGTAATCCCAGCTACTCGGGAGGCTGAGACAGGAGAATTGCTTGAACCCAGGACGCGGAGGTTGCAGCTAGCCGAGATCATGCCATTGCACTCCAGTCTCGGCAACAAGAGCTAAACTCCATCTCAAAAAAAAAAAAAATGGGCCATGTGACATTGGCTACGTTGCTTGCCTTCTCTGTTTCTGTCTCTTCAGCCCTACAACCAGCTCTTCCATGCTACAACATGAAGTCTAAGCTCTTTAGCTCAGACTTCCAAGCCCCTAACAACGCTGTAGTCTCCCCTTCTCACTACCCACCACCCCAGTCACCCTGAACATCTCCCTGGTCTCAAAACCTCACCTCTGCCTGGTCTCTCTCAGCGCTATTCCTCAAGTGGCAACACTGCCCCTCACCACTACTCACTGCAGGTCAACCGCCAGCCAGGTCTTCCCCGGGCATTCTCTGCCTGCTTTTCCTAACACCCTACCGCATGGGCTGTCAGCATCCCCACTTTACAGATGGGAAGACTGAGGTGCAGAGAAATCAAGGGAGAAAGGGACAGTGCCACGAATCATGCAGGCTCTGCCCAGCTGCAGAGCCCTGAGAGCCTTCTGAGGAAGGGTCCGAGAGGCCCAGGAGACCCAGCTGCGGCTGTGAAGTCATCCTATCCCAGATGGAGAGTGCTTTGTACGGCCAAGTGGCCACTTCCAGCCCAGCCGAGCAAGGGCATCACCCACAGGCACAGGCAGAACCATGGAGGAGCGCTCTGCACCCCCAGCATCACAGGGAAGCTTCCACCCATGGAGGGACCGATGGGCAATGTCCAGGTGGAAATGGGAGACGACGTCACAAGATTGCCAGGGGACATGAGCCCACATGGCTGGCGCCACCCAGGAACCCTGCCCCTGACGGCCCAGGGAGCAGTGCTGTGTAGTGGTGCCATTTTGCGCCTCTGTCTCTGCAGATGGAGACACTGAGATTCAGAAAGATCTCACCATCTTCCCAACATCACGTGGTTGAACGGGGTTGAAACTCAGCCAAGAACCCACCTTCCAGCCAGGGCTGTGTCCACTGGGAGGACCATTTATTTATTTACTTATTTATTTAGAGACAGGGTCTCACTCAGTCTCCCAGGCTGGAGGGCAGCAGTGCGATCATAGCTCACTGCAGCCTCGAACTGCCAGGCTCAAGCAATCCTCCCACCTCAGCCTCTCGAGTAGCTGGGACCACAGGCGTATGCCACCATACCAGGTTAATTTTTAATTTTTTTGTAGAGATGAAGTCTTGCTATGTTGTCCAGGCAGGTCTTGAACTCCTGGCCTCAAGCAATCCTCCCATCTCAGCCTCCCAAATTGCTGGGATTACAGGTGTGAGCCACCACACTCAGCCTGTCTGTTTTTTTCAAACTAAGTTTTCTATTAAAAACTCCATTCAATGAAAAGTTTCTTTAATACATCAATTTTATTATTATTTTGTTTATGTCTGCAAACTACTATGGTAAACAACATGAGCCCTCATGGTAGGGACCCAGGAAGGTGCTTGCATTCTTGGGCAAAGTTGTCTCACATGCCTGCCCTGGAACAGGCCGGGAAGACACCACCTTCCAAGATGCCTCTGATGTCCAGTGTCAGGTTCTACCAGGGGCAGGATGGAGTTTAGCCTCTCTCCACTGTCTTGAGACTGCCAGTCCCCAGGCAAGGCCAGAGGGGCAAACTTCAGCCATGGTAGCGGCCAGGCACCATTACTGTCCACCGGGAATCTCCATCTCCGGCCCCCGCCTTCTTTCTACCTGCCCAGGGCTAAAGGACTTTGGAGTCAGGGAGAGGAAGCCTCTGGTAGAGTTTGGGATCATGCAGCCCTGCCTTCTGGCTCTTTAGCTCGATGTTGCCCCAAACCCAAGCTTGGGCACCTGCCTCCATTCTTTCCCCCGCCTCCTGGCCTCATTCATCCAGCACTGACGAGGGCAGTCTTGGGCGCAGAGCAGTGAAGCTGTCCAATGCTGAGGAGACTTGTCACACACCCATTATAGGCCAAAGTTCATTCCAGGTATAAGTCACAACTCCCCTATGAGGCAGAAGCATTCATCTCCTTCTAGAGGTGGGAACACTGAGGGACAGAGAGGTTAAATAACCCAAGGTTACCCAAATATTGGTGCTAGAGACAGGATTCAAGCACAGGCAGTCGGCTCCAGGGCCAGTGGGTTCCTACAGCCCTGTGCTGTCTGTCAACAGTGTTCCAAAAGAGGTCGGAGGGACATCAGCTCTCAAATAAGGCAGGAGAGAAAGAGGCAAATGAAGCAAGAGATAAAATGTGGAGGGTTTGGATGGGATCCTAGGTTTTCCCTCCTGCACCCCCATCCCCAGAAAAGGAAAGAGTTGAACTAAGTGCTAGAGGCCACCTATCCCTGCAGGGAAAATGCTGTCTCCTGATGGGGCCCTACCTCCTGGGGTCTTTGCTGAACAGTCTTCATAATGATGATGACAATGAAGATGACAACAATGGTGACAATGACAATGATAATAATGACAGTGATGACGATGATGGTGGTGATGATGATGATAATGATGATGATGGTAGTGGTGGTGGTGGTAATGATGATAATGATAATGGTGATTATGATGACAATGATGATGATGGTGTTGATGGTGGTGGTGGTGGTGGTGGTGATGATGATGATGACGATGATAATGGTGATGATGACAATGATGATAATGGTGATTATGACGACAATGATGATGATGATGATTATGATGATGACGATGATGGTGGTGGTGATGATGATGACAATGGTGATGATGATGATGACAATGATGATGGTGATGATTATGATGATGATGGTGGTGGTGGGTGATGATGATGTTGACAATGATGATAATGGTGATTATGATGACAATGATGATGATGGTGATTATGATGATGATGGTGATGATGATGATGGTGGTAATGATGGTGACAATGATGATGACAATGGTGGTGATGATGCTGATAACAATGATGCTGATGGCATTACTATTAAATGGCTATGACTGGGGTCCTGGCCCCCATTCCCTCTCACCTATGCAAGACCTTTCTCCTGCAGCTAGGCCCTCTTTTTCTTTGATATTATCTCCTTCTCTCATTCCCAAGAGCACATAGAGGCTGTGTCAGTTGTTATTGCTGCTACAACAAAACACCACAAACTTGGTAGCGTAAAGTAACAGACACTTATCACTCTACAGTCCCAGAGGTCAGGACAGGTCTCACAGGGCTTGAATCCAGGTTCCTTCTGGAGCCTGCGGGTGCAAATCATTTCCTTGCCTTTTCCAGCTTCTGGAGGCCACCAGCATTTCCTGGCTCGTGCCCCTTCTCCATGTTCCAAGCCAGCAACACTGCATCTTTCTGTGCCTTGCCTCCACCATCACAACTCCCTCTGATTCTCCTCTTACTCCCTCTCTTCCACTTTTAAGGACCCTGTGATGACACTGGGCCAAGCTGGATGATTCAGGATGGTCTCCCTATCTTGAGGCCTGCTGATTATTAGCCTTAATTCCATCTGTGACTTTAATTCCCCTTTGTCCTGTAACCTAACATGTTCACAAATTTCAGGGATTAGGATGAAGACATTTTTGGGGGCCACTATTCTGCCTTCCACACACAAACGGTGATATGGTTTGACTGTATGTCCACCCAAATCTCATCTTGAATTGTAATTCCCATAATTCCTGTAGCTTCCATAATTCCCACTTATCATGGGAGGGATCTGGTGGGAGGTAATTGAATCATACGGGTGGGTCTTTCCCATGCTGTTCTCGTGACTGTGAATAAGTCTCCTGAGATCTGATGGTTTTATAAAGGGGAGTTCCCCTACACATGCTGTCTTGCCTACTGCCATGTAAGACGTGATTTTGCTCCTTGTTCACCTTCAGCCATGATTGTGAGGCCTCCCCAGCCATGTGGGACTGTGAGCCAATTAAACCTCTTTCCTTCATAAATCACTCAGTCTCAGATACGTCTTTATTAGCAGCATGTGTTCTGGTTATTCTGTTTGAATAACACTGCCCCAAGATGGAGTCACTCAAAACAACAATCATCATTTGTTATCTCTCATGGCTTCTGCCGGTCAAGCAGGCACAGCGGGGATGGTTTCTCTCCACCCAGTGACATCTGGGGCCTCAGCTGGGGTGGCTCAGAGGCTAGAGACAGAACCACCTGAAGGCTCATTCACCTTCACGTCTGCCAGTTGAGGCTGATGTCAGCTGCAGGCCTGGCAAGGGCTGCTGGCCAGAACCACACATGGCCTCTCCATGTGGCTTGGGCTTCCTCACAACATGGAGGATGAATTCCAAGAAAGAGAGAGTCAAATGAAAGCCATATTGCCTTTTCAGCCCTCAACTCAGGAGCCACAGGGCGTCACTCCTGCCATATACTCTGTCAGCGTACAGGTCTGCACAAGCTCAGGGACAGGGTCACTCTTCCTCTCAAAGGGAGAGTGTCGACCTTACTTTGTAAGAAGAGCAGGTGGAATGGGAGATATACAGGGGGCATCATCTTTGGGACCTGCCATCTTCCCTAGCACCTCAGACTGAGCCTGAGCCAGGCAGAACCCTTGAATTTTTCCCCAGACATGGCGGTCCCCTTGCTAGATAATGGCATCCCCATCCTCATGGTATTTCAGGGCAAAAGTCTGGGCATTGTCTAGAGGGTGGCAGGCCATGCAGGTCAGACACTGGAGGGACCTGGGCCACGAAGCCTGGCAGTTGGAGACCCTTCTGTTGGTTCTCACTGTGGGAAGTCACGAAGACCCCGCAGATCCTGGGCAGCTGTATGACCTGGGCAAGCTGGCGGGAAGCGACAGCTCCACAGACTCCGAGACAGAGAGGCTGCAATACTCCTCCGCCCGATTGCCTCATCCCCCAAAGGGCTTTGATAAATGGAGAGATAGGCCCGCTAATTCTTGGGTGCTGCAGGGGGAGGATGTCCTGTCACCACTAAAACGGGCCCGGACTCCTTATCATGCTGTCACTCTGCAAATCACCAAAGACAGGCTTACGTCACCCCCTCAGAGGGGCTTCAGAGGGGCCTCTAATCCTAATGGATTTGCCCAAGTGGAGATAAAGAACCTTCTTGTTCCTCCCATAATGCAGTAATTCACTTTACAAATAGAGCCAAGGAGAGTGGTTGGGAGTGGGGGCTGGTCAGCCACTCAAAGGGCCAGTTTTCCCGGGCAGGGGATGACATTCTGGAACATTCTGCGCAGGAAGGCTGATAGCACCAATCCAGGGGTGGCAGGGATGACTTCCCTGGGGATGCCAGGGTCATGAAAATGGGGCTCTCAGACCTGAGTTCAAAACTGAACTCTCACTACATATCAGCTGTGCCATCGTGAATGTATTGCTTAGCCACTCTTAGCCTCAATTTGCTTATCTGTAACACAGGATAATCAGTGTAGCCATCTTCAAACACTGCTGTGAGACTGAAATGTGGTCCAACGCAAGGCACAGGGCACAGGGGAGGGTGCACATAAAAGGTTTCTGTTCCTATTGACAAGGCTGCTGTGATCGCTGGTGACCAGCAGTGGAGAATACAATGGCACTAGGGCTGCTAGCAGGGGAGCCATAGCCCTGGGTTCACATCCCAGCACGACCACTTACTGGCTGGGAAGCTGGGGTGTGTTCACCTCTCCTGCCTCAAATCTCTCTATGGCAACCTGGGTGGTGTTCATTATTCTGAAATATTGGAATGATCAATAATCCAATTTTGGCTTAACCAATAATTCTGAAAATATACAGAAGCGATGTGAAATTAAGGGGATTAAATGAGGGGAGGCATGTGAAAAGTGGGTGCCAGTCCTTGAAGGATGGGGGCAGCTGTTCTGCATGGTCACGAAGGTTAGGAGGACAGGGTCCACCCCACCCTATGGGAGGGAGGCAAAGCGTCCTGGTTGGAATCTACCCCCAACTCCAGTAAAGTGGATTCCCTGGGCAGGGGATGCTGAGAGGGTGGGGTGAAGCCAGGCGCCAAGGAGCCTGGAGCTTACACAACTGGACAGGGGCTCTTTAAGAAAAATAAGGCCGGGTGTAGTGGCTCATGCCTGTAATCCCAGCACTTTGGGAGGCTGATGCAGGTGGATCATGAGGTCAGGAGTTCGAGACTAGCCTGACCAACAAGGTGAAACCCTGTCCCTACTAAACATACAAAAACAATTAGCCAGACGTGGCGGCACACGCCTGTAATCCCAGCTACTTAGGAGACTGAGGCAGGAGAATTACTTGAACCCGGGAGGCGGAGGTTGCAGTGAGCCGAGATCGCGCCACTGCACTCCAGCCTGGGTAACAGAGCGAGACTCTCTCTCAAAAAAAAAAAAAAAAGAAGAAAGAAAAAGAAAAAGAAAAGAAAAGAAAAAGAAAAAGAAGACAAAATTGCAACTACAAAACTAGACACCAACCTGAATATTTATTAGAATGAGAAGGAAAAAAATCACAAGTCGAATGTTACAAAGCTCACAAATATTGCAAACACCACAAAACACAGGAAAGTGCTGATGTTTTTATTTCTTAACTACCTGACCCATTTCTATAATACCATTTTTCTCTGTTTTGGGTTACATACTGTTTTACCACCTCCTAACATGACAATACTTTTATAATTATAATTTTTTCCTGTAAAGAGAATAGAAAGATAATTCGATTTTACTCCAAAACATGGGTAATTGAAATTCATTATTATTGGTGGATTAAAACAGTTTCGTTCATGATTCTGACTATCAGAGTTTTTGTTTCTATCGTGATATATGAAGAGGGATTTTGATATTTTAAAGCCTTACGCCTTTCAGCTTATTCTTTTGGCTTCTACAAGGATACTTCTCATCACATTTAATTCTGGAATAGTCAATCATTCTGAAAAAATATATATACATATATATACAGAATTAGCCGGGCACGGTGGCTCACGCCTGTAGTCCCAGCACTTTGGGAGGCCGAGGCAGGTCGATCATGAGGTTAAGAGATCGAGACCATCCTGGCCAACAGAATAAAACCCCATCTCTACTAAAAATACACAAATTAGGCTGGGCATGGTGGTGCGCGCCTGTAATCTCAGCTACTCAGGAGGCTGAGGCAAGAGAATCACTTGAACCCGGGAGGCAGAGGTTGCAGTGGGCTGAGATCATGCCATTGCACTCCAGCCTGGTGACAGAGCAAGACTCCATTTAAAAAAAAATTTATATATATATATATATATATATATACACACACACACATTTATACACAGAAGTGATGTGAAACAAAAGAATATGCAACAGATGCATTCAGATGCATTTTTTCATCTGTTACTACACTGGATTGAGCTACATAGTTATGGAATCGAATTTCTCTCCCACCCAATACCTTGAGTTACTGATGGATCTACCATAGAAGTTCTCCCCGTGTCTCCAGACTGTTTCACTGCACTGGGGCAGTCTTGTGTTTTCTGTTGTCTGGAGCTACCAGATTGTGTCAAGACAAGATGCAACACACACTCTAAAAGGGATCGGGGACAGGCGCGGCGGCTCACGCCTGTAATCCCAGCACTTTGGGAGGCTGAGGTGGGCAGATTGCCTGAAATCAGGAGTTTGAGGCCAGCCTGGTCAACATGGCAAAACCCTGCATCTACTAAAAATACAAAAATTAGCCAGGCTTGGTGGTGGGCACCTGTAATCCCAGCTACGCAGGAGGCTAAGGCAGGAGAATCACTTGAGCCCAGGAGGTGGAGGTTGCAGTGAGCCAAGATTGCACCATTGCACTCCAGCCTGGGTGACAGAGCGAGACTCCATCTCAAAAAAAAGAAAAGAAAAGAAAAAAGAAAGGGATCAAGTGCCTTAGGATGTGTGTGCATGTTTTATTCAGAGAGAGATGTGCTTTTATGCAGGTGCTCTGCAAACCCAGGAACTCTGCTAAGTTTTATTTTGCCATGATTCTCATTGAAAGAGGAAAGTGCACAGAGGGTAGTGTGGTGTGTTTGCGATCAAATCCTCTGCAATGTGGAGTATATTTCTGAAAGCAAAGACCTTTCTTTCTGACCAGAGCTTCTGTGGGAACTGAATCACCCACTCACAACCTCGCACATCAGGTGATAGGTCGAATGTTCTCCCGCCTAACTTCAGCTCCACTCATTTCAGACTTCACTTGCCCTGCCCACACACACCCAGGGCCTGGGCCGTGAGACGCTTTCCCCTCCAGCACTGCTCTGTGGCCACGCTAGGGTGACCTCCCAGTGGGTGCAGGTGTGTCTCTAGAAGCCAGCCTGGGGCCAGCGGCAGCTCAGCTCTCTACAGAAGTCACCAGAACTCCACAAACATGACCAGCAAACCCACTTCCCTTGCCTAGACCCTGCCAGCACCCGGAACCTCCAGATCCTCCCCTCCCCCAATAGAGGGAAATTAGAAAGGAGAGACAGACACTTTCCCTATTGTCAATAAAACATCTTACATTGGTAAATATAAAGACATACGCACAACCATGAGAGCGAATTCCTGGGCCCTTGCAGTGGGGGGCCATGAAGCTGGAGCTTCAGGCTGAAGGATTCCTCTGGCCAGCTCAGAGGAGCTGGGGGCAGAAGCAGCACTTGTACCCCACTCCCAACCACTTCCCAGAGGAAACCTCTTCTACCCCCACCAAATTGTTGGAAGCAGGATAAAACCGTCAGAAGCCCTTTATACCAGCCCCATAAGTTATAAAACACAGGTCAAGGTCCTCTTAGTTCTGTGGTGGTGTAAAAGTTGCAGGTTCTTCTGGAGCTTAAATAACTTGACAAGGGGCTCTTTAAGAAAAACAAGACAAAACTGAGGCCGGGCATGGTGGCTCACACCTGTAATCTCAGTACTCTGGGAGGCCGAGGCAGGTCAGGAGTTTGAGACCTTCCTGGCCAACATGGTGAAACCCCATCTCTACTAATAAATAAATAAATAAATAAATAAATAAATAAATAAATACAAAAATTAGCTGGGCGTGGTGGCGCACACATGTAATCCCAGCTACTCGGGAGACTGAGGCAGGAGAATCGCTTGAATCCAGGAGATGGAGGTTGCAATGAGCTGAGATCACGCCACTGTACTCCAGCCAGGGCGACAGAGCAAGACTCCATCTCAAAAAAAAAAAAAGAAAAGAAAAAGAAGACAAAATTGCAACTACAAAATGAGCCACCGATGTAAGGAAGAAGTTGAAATAAAAGTAGAACCATGACATTGAATAAAACTCAAGTGACAATGGCCCCGCCGCACACCCCGGCTCCACCACCCCTGGGCCCCCTCCTGCACCCTGTGCCACCCTTGCTGGCCTGGCCTCTCTTCTCCGCCCAGGCTGTGCTTGGCTACAGTTGTTTCTTGGTGAAAATAATTTCTCAAAACCCAGGGCAAAATAAAAGTCTGTGCTAACTTGACCCTCTCCATTAAATATGCTACAAGTTTGCCCAGAGAGTCTGGCTCAGCCTGGAGCTCTTTGTAGCATTAGCCCAGAGTCTCTTTATCATCCATAATTAATCCGTGTGCAGCTGGGGTTAACACGGATTCAGAGAATGATACCGTGTGGGGTTAGAATCCAGCACATGGTTTGAAATGTGAGAACATAAGTGGTAGGTGATGGACGCCAACGGACACCCTCAAAAGGCCAAAGGTTCAAGCCAGCCGTGGTGTCCTAAAGACTTCTGCTTTCCAATTTCCAATGCTGGGATACGACTTTATAAAGAATGGACATCGCAGCCTGTCAAGGCTGCTCCCCAACCTGGGGAGGGACAAGAATTCAGTTATAGAGAAGAGTCACTCATGACCCATGGAGCTTCCCGTGACAAAAGCCGCTCTGGAAATGATCAGAAAACATTAAAGAAGCAAAATGCATTTGGCATGGCTGCGATTTTGGAGCACGCATCCATTTTGTCATGAGCCATTGCTGATAAAGCATCTACTCATTCAATTAGGTCCAGGAAAATGGAAAATCGCTGAAATTCATCGTTGAAAATAGTTCATTTCTTAGCGAACACTGTTTACTGTTAGGAGGGAGAAATGGTCTGTTTTATCCATAAATAAAGGCAATTTGGGGAGGTCTTAGATATTAAAGTGAAAGATAACAGGGAAGAGGTATTTAGACATATGAGTTCACCAGCTGATTCCTGCGAAGATGCAGAGATCTGAAATGAAATCATCAAACTACGAAGATTGAAGCGTTGCAGGACATGGTGACTGACATGATGTCTCCCCGGCTTCATCGGTCATGTGTGATGAGCCCAACTGATAACGCAATAGCAGCCCAGCTGTCGGTCTGTGCAGAAGGATAGTCTCGGAAGACATCTGCCCGGCCAGATCCAAGCTTCCCTCATCTGGTCTCATCGAGGCTGCACACACCGCAGGGGCCGACTCACTAAGGGTTTGAAACGCATTTACCTGCATCAAATTAGGAGCCAGCACATGGTTTGAAACCTGAGATCTCAGCTGCGTAAAGGGAACTCACAGCCGTCCCCTGTGCTGTGAGGCAGATGGGAAGGTCTGGTGGCGTCTTCGTCAGGTTTAAGAGGAGCAAGTCGACAGCTTTAGATGCCCCCCTGTGGGCACCTACATTGTCTGGGTGTGTCCGTGATGGGGTCTCATGAGGAAATAGGCAGGACCCCAAATGTCTTCATTCATATCGGTTCTTGGTGTAAAGAATCCGCACAGCTGGACAATGTCCTCCCACACCAGTGAGCACAGGAAGGTGGACTGTGGGTTGTGTCCTTTGTCACCTTGTCAGGAACACTTTGTGCCAGGCATCAGGATGCATGAGAAAGCCAAGATTCCTCAGTGATGGAGAAGGGGTTGGGGCATGGGTGGCATTGGCAGGGGTGGTGAAAAGAGAGAACAAGGTATTCTCAGGAGAGTGGCAGGAGGAGCCCCATGTACTCTGGGGTCACCATGAGGCATCTGGCTGGGAGAATAAGGAACAGGGCTCTGTCAAGCCCGATGTCGATCCCAGATCCTGTTCTGCCAGCAAGGTGGCCACTGAGAGGACAAGAGACAAAGGGAAGGGCCTCAATTCTTATCCAGCCACCATAATCTTCAATAATCATTACATGCAGAAAAATCACCATTGAAACAAAACTATCATCTAACGAAGAGTCCCTGCTCACGTTCTTCCAATTTTCCCAATGTTTTCACAGCATGTTGTTTCAAAACAGGATCAATCATTGCATGTGGCATCATGTTTCTTTACATTCTTTTATTTTGTGTTTGTTTGTTTGTTTGAGATGGAGTCTCACTCTGTCACCCAGGCTGGAGTGCAGTGGTGCAATCTTGGCTCACAGCAACCTCTGCCTCCCAGGTTCAAGTGATTCTCCTGTCTCAGCCTCCAAAGCAGCTGGGATTACAGGGGCCCACCACCATGCCCGGCTAATTTTTGTATTTTTAGTAGAGACAGGGTTTCACCATGTTGGCCAGGCTGGTCTCGAACTCCTGATCTCAGGTGATCTGCCCGCCTCGGCCTCCCAAAGTGCTGGGATTACGGGCATGAGTCACCACGCCTGGCCCACGTCCTTTTATTTTGAACGATTCTTTGCTTCTTGCTTTGTCTTTCTTATATTAGCATTTTGAACAGGACAAGTGAGGTATTTGCACTTGTTCCTGGATTTGTGTCTGGTTGATGTTTCCTTTATTTGATTTAGGTACTGTGTCTTTGGGGACAGGACACACAGAATAGATGCTGTGCCCTCCTTGAGTCCTGGCAGGCACTTGATGTCAGCTCACCCCAGTGTTGGTGACGTGACCTTTGATCACTTCGTTAAGGTCGTGTTTTCTTTTTTTTTTTTGAGACGGAGTCTGGCTCTGTCGCCCAGGCTGGAGTACAGTGGCGCAATCTAGGCTCACTGCAAGCTCCGCCTCCCGGGTTCACGCCATTCTCCTGCCTCAGCCTCTCAAGTAGCTGGGACTACAGGCGCCCGCCACCACACCCGGCTAATTTTTTGTATTTTTAGTAGAGACGGGGTTTCACCATGTTAGCCAGGATGGTCTCTATCTCCTGACCTCGTGATCCGCCCGCCTCAGCCTCCCAAAGTGCTGGGATTACAGGCGTGAGCCACCGCGTCCGGCCAAGGTCGTGTTTTCTACTGCAAAGTTACCATTTTTTCCTTTGGAAGTCGTAAGTCATTTGTGGCAAGATACTTTGAGGCCATTGAAATAACCTCATCCTTCTTAAACTTGGCCCCAACAGTCCACATCCATCCATGACCGTGACTCTTGCCTAAATCATATATTACTCTGATGGTTGCAAAATTGCCACTTCCTAACACTACTGTTCCTTCTACGTGTGTCTGCTGGCATTCCACTGTAAAGAAGGGCTTTCTCAGCCAGGCACGGTGGCTCACGCCTGCAATCCCAGCACTTTGGGAGGCCAAGATGGGCAGATCACCTGAGGTCAGGAGTTCGAGACCAGCCTGGCCAACATGGTGAAACCCCATCTCTACTAAAAATACAAAAATTAGCCAGGCATGGTGGCGGGCACCTGTAATCTCAGCTACTTGGGAGGCTGAGGCAGGAGAATCGCTTGAACCTGGGAGGCAGAGGTTGCAGTGAGCCGAGATCGTGCCACTGCACTCCAGCCTGGGCGACAGAGTGAGACTATGTCTCAACAAAAAATAAATAAATAAATAAATAAATAAAAGGAGGGGGCCTTTCTTTTCCCTGCCATTTATAAATTTATCGACTCATTCTTGGTCAGGGTGGACTCACTGATCATGCTTTGATCATTGATTTATCTTCATTACTGACACTAGTCATTGTCACGCTCAAATTCCCAGCCTTGGCTGGCAAGGGCCCTCCTGGACCCCCTGACTCATTCCTAGATGGGAGGTCTTCATGTCACCCGGAAAATGGGCTTCAGGGAGTACACGAGCTGCTTGAAGTTATACCCAAAAGATGTTTTGTGAGAGGATGAAAGTTCAATTGCTTTCATCAGATTCAAAAGGGGACTGGGGCCTTCCCATAAAGACAAAGAAACGCTGGATCACAGATATGGGTGAACCTGTCAGCTATCCCAGCCACCTCCAAGTCACACCTGAGACCCCAGCGTTAGACACCATGGAAGTGCTGGCGTCACAGCAGGCTTTCCTTCGGCAGCCTGGTGTGATGCTGACAAGGCTGTATAGGAGGTGCCTTGGCCAGACCGGGGCTGAGGGGGCTGGGTGGGTGTGGAGAAATGGGGCATTTGACTGTCCTCATCCGTTTTGGAGCAGCTGGGACGTCTCTCACTAGGGGTCTCAAGAGGCCCCTTGGTTCTGAAACTTCCACAAGGTAACCCTTCTTTTGTTTTTTGTTTTTTGAGACGGAATCTCACTCTATCGCCCAGGCTGAAGTGCAGTAGTGTGATCTCGGCTCACTGCAACCTCCACTTCCCGGATTGAAGCGATTCTCCTCCCTCAGCCTCCTGAGTAGCTAGGATTACAGGCGCTGGCCACCACACCCAGCTAATTTTTGTATTTTTAGTAGAGACAGGGTTTCACCATGTTGGCCAGGATGGTCTCGATCTCTTAACCTTGTGATCTGCCCACCTCGGCCTCCCAAAGTGCTGAGACTACAGGTGTGAGCCACCGTGCCCAGCCAGTAAGCCCTGCTTTACCTGTGTGATTTCTCCTTGCTTCTCTTGTACTTTGAGGCCAGATGCCCCGACTCTGCCTGGGTACTAATGTCCTGAGAACTTCACCAACAAAAACACACTTTCCTTAGGGACACTGTGGCACCCATGATTTGCAGGAATCCCTTGGGGCAGGCACTCTGCTTCGGGCTGTCCATCTCGCTCAATTCTCAGCATGAGCTTAGGTACAGACTCATTGCCCCTCGTTTTACACACAGGGAAACTGTGGCTCAGACAAGCTTCGCCCAGGCTCCCACAGCTTGGAAGTGACCAGACCAGGCCTTGAACCCAAATCCACCATTTCCAGCATCCATAGACCCAATCCTCTCTCCACCAACAAGCACACTTCAATCAGGGCAGAGTTCAGCTCAGGGCAGAGTTCAGCTCGAAGCCATTGGAAAGCCCCAGATGGCAACATGGCGCCTATCCTATAGGCTGCCCCTTATCCATACTCTTTGCCACATGACTTTACAGTTTCCCCACAGGCATGGCTTGGCCATGGGACTCATCTTGAACCAGGTGAGTTTGCTGATAGGGGCAAATAAGGTTGGAAAGAGGGTTTTGTGGCCGGGTGTGGTGGCTCATGCCTGTAATCCCAGCACTTTGGGAGGCCGAGGCCAGTGGATCACTTGAGGTCAGGAGCTCGAGACCAGCCTGGCCAACATGGGGGGAAACCCTGACTCTACTAAAAATACAAAAATTAGCCAGGCATGGTGGTGGGTGCCTGTAATCCCAGTTACTCAGGAGGCTGAGGCAGATGGATTGCTTAAATTCAGGAGGCAGAGGTTGCAGTAAGCCAAGATTGCCCCTCTGTACTCCAGCCTGGGTGACAGAGAAAGACTCCATCTCAAAAAAAAACAAAAAAGAAAAAAAAGAAAGAGGGTTTGGGACTGGGCTTGCTCCCCTGCACTTCAACCAGTGCTGTGAGAAGATCACACCCAGGGAGCCTGCTGGTCTCAGGAAGAGGGGACACATGGACCATGCCGTGGCCCAGAGCCAAACCCAACCAAGCCCAGCCTAGATCAGCCAAACCCCAACCAACCCACAGACCTGTCCCTTGGAGCTGAGCCACTTCAGCCAAACAGACCCACACAGGACATAAATTCTGATTGCTGCATGCCTCTGAGCTTGAGAATGGTGTGTTATGCAGCGTTATTGCGGCCACAGTGAGAACAAGCCTCTTCATCTCCCCCTCAATTTTAAAACCGGCTCAGTGACAACACTGGAAATAGATCCCCCGGCCTTCCCTCCAGCCTTGTGTGCATTCATGCTGCTGGTCATGAGACTCGGTGCCCCTCTGTGTGGAGTTGGGGTGGGGAGTTCGGGGAAAGGTGCTAGGTGAAAACTGCACCAGCAAGAGAAAGACAAGCTTCCTTCTTGAGTCCCGTGTGGATCTGCTCCAGAGCCTGTGGTTGGGCTTTCACAGTGGCTGTTAGAGGAAGGAAAAGGGGAAGGAGCACAGCCAGGGAGGGCACAGATAAGGGGCCCTTATGAATGCATCCCCTTTGAAAGAAGTAGCCTCTGAACCAAGACCTAGAGTGTGATGGCCTTGTGAACGGCTAGTGTGTACGGCTGCAGCCACGGGGTCTCGCCCGAGCTAGAGGATTCTCGGTTGTTGATCTGATTCTCCCATTTGAGGCCTGGCAGGGAAAGTGCAGACCAATTATGCGGGCGCACTGAGAAGAGAACAGGACAGACATCCCTGGGGTCTTTTCCACCTCTCCTGCTATCCAAGGGAGAGACACTTCCCACAGGTCCAGACACGGAGGGAAGGAAACCAGAAGGGTAGCACCAGGTAGGCCCATCTCCACACACTGCGGCCGCCTGGACCTCGGAAAGCCACCTTGATGCCTTCACTTACACCCTGGAGGTGATGCTGGCCACGGTGATGATAAGGATTAGACAAGTTGGTCTGTAGGGCACTCAATATGTTAGCATTCTCTTCTGTGGTCGGTCTCCAGGAGAGAGGACGGTCCTCACAGAATCAGTATCCAAGGACACTAAGTGCAAGTGAGTTGTCGGGATGGGCTCTCTCTGACGTGCCACGTGCCCTGCAAGTGCCCACGCCTGCCTTCAGAGCATGCACAGTGAGGGGGATGCTGATGGGCTCAGAACTGCAGCCACATCTGGGTCCGGTTGCCCTCACGGCAGAGACACTAGGGACTGAGGCTGCTCTTTGACCTCCTTGGCTTCAGTGTCTCCACCTTTCAGGGGTGCTTTGGAGGAAAGCCTCACACCAGGCTGTCATGAGGCCATGCGTGAACAAAGAGACCACACGGGCCAGCTCCTGGCCCACGCTGTGCAAGGTGGAGGCCCTGATCATCACCCATCAGCAATGGGCTTGGACAGGAGGGGAACTGGAACTGGTGCTGGGGCCTCAGGGGAAGGCAGAAGGCACAGGCTCGCAGAGATGGCTCCAAGAGGTGGGAGAGTAGGGACCTGGGTCTGTCAAAGTCTCTGCACGGAGGGAGTTCCCAGCCAGGCCACTCCATTGTCTGAGGACTCTTACCGGCAAAGGCAGACAGCCCTGTTCACAGACATCTGCCAACCCTTGTCCCAGGCTGGAGCTTGGGTTTCCACCGGGAGGCAAAGGCCAGCGTTGGAAGAAGGGGCCAGGCTCTGTTTACACACAGCAGTGCTGGCCACCAGCTCCCATGGGATCGTGTGTCTGTGTGCACAGGTGGCCAGGAGCGCTGCACCGAGGCTCACACAAGGCCTGCCCCGAGGTGCTGCCCATCCAGCCCTCCTTCCCTCCTTCCTTCTCTTCTCCCCACCTACCCTCCTTCCTTCTCTTCTGCCCACCTTCCCTCCTTCCTTCCTTTCCCTCCTTCCCTCTTTTTTTAAATTCCCTCCTTCCAGCCCTCCCTCCCTGCTTTCCTTTCTTCCTTTCCTCTCTTACCTCCTTTTTCTCTGTTCCTTCCATCCCTCCTCCCTTCCCTTCCCCTCTCTCCTCCCTTCCCTGCTCTTTCTTCTTTCTTCCTTCTGTTCTCCCTTTGTTCCCTCCTTCCTGTTTGCCTCCCTCCCCGCCCTCCTTCTTTCTTTCCCTCCAACAGATAGATATTTGGGTGCCTTTTTTGTACCATATCTGTGCTATACAACAAGATTTTAACAATAAGACTCCATTTCAGTCCACAGGGAGCTCACAGACCAGAGGAAAACTCAAGCAGGTGATGATAGTACAAGATGTGTGACAGGGGCGGGTGCACAGGGCTGTGGGGGCCCCAAGGAGGTCACCTAACCCAGCCTGGGGCCAGGGAAGGCTTCCAGAAGAAATAATATGTCGCTAATCCCTGGCAAGGGATTCTTTATGGGACTGGTATTGAATATGCACTTTAGGATTGGTTAAAACACATGCTGGTCACAGCAGGTAGCCACACCACGACCAGTATGGTGAGCATTAAAGAGACTGACCAGCCAGCACAGTGGCTCACACCTGTAATCCCAGCACTGTGGGAGGCCAAAATGGGGGTATTGCCTGAGGTCAGGAGTTCGAGATCAGCCTGGCCATCATGGCAAAACCCCATCTCCACTAAAAATACAAAAATTAGCTGAGTGTGGTGGCATGCACCTGTAGTCCCAGCTACTTGGGAGGCTGAGGCATGAGAATCTCTTGAGCCTGGGAGATGGAGGTTGCAGTGAGCTGAGATCACACCACTGCATTCCAGCCTGGGCAACAGAGCGAGACTCCATCTCAAAATAAATAAATAAATAAATAACACTGACCATGTCTGGAGCCACTGGGACTCACGCACGCTTGCAGGCATGTATGTAGGTGCAGCCATTTTGGAAATCTGTAAGACAACTTCTGATAAAGATAAGCTGCTACTTACCTTAGGACCCAGCAGATCTACCCTAAGCCCATAGCACAAAACTTAGCATACGTGTCCATCAAAAGACTTGTACATGAATGTTCATAGCAGCTTTATTCAAAATCATCAAAACCCAAAAACAACCAAGATGTCTGTCCACAGTAGACCTTGCATGTCCACCCAGTGGAAGCCCATTCACCATGAAAAGGAATGGACGTGGATATACACAGCCATGGATGGACCTGATGGGCGCCATGCTAAGAGACAAAGCCAGACATGAAAAGAGGAACATGCTGTATGTTTCTCTCATACAAAATTCAAAAACAGGCCAAACTCATCTATGGTGATGGAAATCAGGACAGTGGGTACCTGGGGGAGAGAGAAGTTAGTGAAATTAGTCCCTAAGAGAGACCTCTGATATGCTAGAAAATGCTGTAACTTGGTCTCTAATTTGATTGTTACATGAATATATACGTTGAGATATATACACTTTAGCATTTATGTCTTTTACCATATGTAAATTACACTTCCGGTTTAAAATTCTATTAAGTGAAAAAAAAAGAGGCCACTATAGCCAGGGAGAGCTCTGGGCCACAAACCAGGGTGCTTTAAAGTGGAGTCAGCAGGAATGGATGCAGGACATCGGGAGGGTTGGGGGCAAGGACTGGGGTGCAGACAGAGGCTTCAGAGAATTCACAGTACAGGTCAGTGAGGGAGCCCCAGCAGAGAGGCCTTTCTTTTTTCTCTTTAAGAAAAAAGATATAACCTAGAAGCATTCCTAAGTGCCATGGCCTAGTGACCATCTGACATTGAATGCACCCAGAACTTGGAATTCCGGGCCTTGGAACTCATTGCAGTTGCCCTTATAAATCCCACAACTCAAGGGAACCTCAAAAAATATCCCATATCATCCTACAACGAAGGGTATGGTGGCCAAGCTCCATTCTTAAACTTCCAGTGAGCTCTTTGGTCTCCAAACCTGTCATAACCTGACAGCCAAGGGTTACCAGACTTCTGTGAACAGCCTCCAACATGAAAAGCAGAGACAAAAACATCAACAGAAACACATAACTGGGTGGAAACAGACTTTTCAGAAAAAAAAAAAAAAAAAACACTTTTTTTTTGTTTCTTTTTTTTTTTAGACAGAGTTACTCTGTCACCCAGGCTAGAGTACAGTGGCGCGATCTTGGCTCACTGCAACCTCCGCCTCCTGGGTTCAAGCGATTCTCCTGCCTCAGCCTCTCAAGTAGCTGGGATTACAGGCACCCGCCACCACAACCGGCTAATTTTTGTATTTTTAGTAAAGACGGGGTTTCACCATATTGATCAGGCTGGTCTTGAACTCCTGACCTTGTGATCCACCCGCCTCAGCCTCCCAAAGTGCTGGGATTACAGGCGTGAGCCACTGCACCCGGCCAAAAAAAAAAAAGAAGAGAGGGAAAGGGGATTAGAAAGAGATAGAGAAGAAAAGAGAGAGGGGGCAAGAGGGAGGAAGGAAAAGAGGAGAGGATGGATGGCAAGAATGAGGAGGAGAAATAAGGACAATGGTTGTGGTGGCTCACGCCTGTAATCCCAACACTTTGGGAGGCCGAGGTGGGTGGATCACTTGATGTCAGAAGTTCCAGACCAGCCTGGCCAACATGACAAAACCCCATCTCCACTTAAAAATATAAAAATTAACCAGATATGAGGTGGCGCACACCTGTAATCCCAGCTATTTGGGAGGCTGAGGCATGAGAATCACTTGAACCCGGGAGGTGGAGGTTGCAGTGAGCTGAGATTGCACCACTGCACCCC
Source organism: Homo sapiens (assembly GCF_000001405.40). Lineage (NCBI taxonomy): Eukaryota > Metazoa > Chordata > Mammalia > Primates > Hominidae > Homo > Homo sapiens. The sequence continues at coordinate 11,006 of NT_187582.1, read as the reverse complement.
AGCCCAGGTAACAGGGTGAGACTCTGTCTCAAAAAAATAAAAAAAGAGAAAATCTAGAAAATAAGTACAGAAGATCCAACATCCAAATAACAGGAATAACAGGAGCTATAGATGTATACGAGAGAGGAAATTGCAGGGAAGAAATGATCAATGAAATAATTCAGGGTAATTCCCTGGCACTAAAAAAAAGGCCCGCAAAATACCCAGCATAGGAGGTGAACATAGACCTACCCCATGGACACATCATTGTGGAACTTTAGTACACTTGGGACAAAGAGAAGATTCTACAAACTTCCAGAGAGAAAAACCACATGACATACCCAGGGCTGGTTATCAAAACAGCTTCAGAATTCTCAGCAGCCCCACTGGAAGCAAGAAAACAATGGAGCAATGCTTTTGAGCTTCTGAAGGGAAATTATTTCCTAACCCAACCTTCTATGCCAGCCACATTATTAAGCAAGTGTGAAGGTGGAATACAGATCCCTTCAGCTGGCGAGGTCTCTAACAAATTTGCCTACGAGCCACACTTTCTCAGAAAGCTACTGAAGGATGTGCTACACCCAACTGAGAAGGTAAACCAAGAAAGAGAAGACTCGACATACAGGAAGCAGCAGGTGAAGGCAGTCCCCCAGAAGATCACTGATGGCCGTGACGCACTCCACATAGAACGCTGCCGTTACAGATGACAGCCATGTGACAAGATTTCTGCTGCCACTGTGCCCCCTTTTGACCTGAGGACAGAGTATGGGGTGAGGATCTTATCTTCGCTTGGCTTATGTTGACCAGGGGCTGGCAAAGTTCCTGCTCTTTCTCCTGCTGGGCTGCCTCCACCAGTTGAGAACTTTGATCTATTCTTGAGAGCAGGAATTGGCCACGGTGAGCTTAGAAGCAGATGATGCAAAGCAACCTGCTCTCTTTAGCCATCCTTCTGCCATGATCCCAGAGGTCAGCCTCATCAGATAGCCCAGCTATCGTGAGACCTCAGTTTCCCAGGGCTCACTCATGCCTTTGCCCATTGACAGTCTGACCTTCAATTCTCTCAGAGAGGGGCAGAGCCTGGCTTGCTGCCCTGAGTTTGCCAGAACTCAGCTGGCCTTTGTGTTTTATATTTTTTTGGGAGCTTTCAACTCTTGGTGACAACATTGCCATTTCCTTACACAATTTGTTTTGTGCTTCCTTCAATTTTTTAGAACTAAACAATGTGTTGTAAGCTTGTAGATGCTGGCCAGATGATCACCAAACCTGTTCCTCCCCCATTCCTGGGCACTCAGCTGGACTGCATTTCCCAGCCTCCCTTGCAGGTAGGTACAGGTACATGTCTGTGTTCCATCCAGTAGAATGTGATGGAAGTGATGTTTACTACCTCCAGGCCTGCCGAAAAAAGCTTCCTACACAATCCAGTCTGCTCCTTCTCTCTGTTTGCTCCTCTGCCGATCCAATGCAGTGCACCAAATGGAGGACTCCATGGCTGTAGGGGATGGCAGAGCCATTCAGAAAAAAAGGCCTGGGTCCCTGCATGGCTGCATGGAGCAGAGCCCAACCCAACCTGCCCTGCACTGTCATGAACAAGAGATACACATGTATTGAATTAGGGTGCTACAATTAGTGGGTTGCTTGTTAAAACAGTTAATATACCCTGATTAATAAAGGATATTTACATAGGTGGTAAAACTCTAAAGGAAAATATAGGCCATTCGTTTTAGGAGCCAGTTTCCTGATACAGAGGAGATAGGTACTTGGGAAATGTCTTTGCTGAACAAATGAATGCACAAACACAATTGCTCTTTGACTGTGGCTTCAAAGTCATGTCCGCACAAGCGTGTGGCCCGGAGGGGAACGGGAAAAATGTAGACAGTTGATTTGTCAGGGTACTGGGAATGTGGGTGAAATTTTTCCTGTTATTCTTAGGATAAGGTTATTTTGCAATAAATACGTAGAGAATGTGGAGTCAGGCTCTCCCGCATTCTGTGTGGCATGCGTAAAAACATCTAGGCACACAGCGCTCCAAACAGATGTTTCTTTGCAAGCAAGAGCTCATTTCTCCTGAAAGCAGTCAGGATCCAGCAACCAGGCATCCCCCTCCTCCAGCAGCCCAGCTCTCCAAACCCACCCTCCCCAGTCCCACCCTACACAAGGTCCTCAGCCCTGCCCCCAGATGGAAGCCCCCCACCTTCCACCACCACAACACATTCTGCAGCCTCAAGGCTGAGTTCAGTGTCACCAGGGCAGAATTCCCCACCCATCCTATGTCCCCACAGGTCTTTGACCCTCTGTAGTGGGCATCTGCCTATTCAGCCTGGCAGTGCCCAGAAGACAGCTTGCCTAGGGGTGAAGGGATGAGGGCCCCCCAGTCAGATCAACCAGGTCTGCACCCCAGATGCCCATTGACCAGCTCAAGGGTGGGAGCAAGTTGCTTTGCCTCTCTGAAGCCCAGGGATGATGACAGCCCCTTCCTGAAGGATGTCTGTGAAGAGCAGATGAAGGGATGCATGGAATGTTCTTAGAAAGGCCCCCAGGCCCATATGGATCGCTCAATAAGCCTTGGCCCCAGGACTGTCCTCAGAAGTAGAGAATGCATCTGTGTCTGGCTCTTACAATGACCTGTTAACCCCTCAAGAGTGATGCCCACATTCTCCTCCCTGGTAACTGGCCTGGAGCCCAGCGCTCAATGAGCTGCACATGGAACAGAACCGAGAGCTCAACTAGCTGCAGAGAAGCTGAGTTAAGCCTGTGTCTGTTGATGGCCACTTGGCCACTGGATTCAAGGCAGGATGTGCTGGCACCTTGGGACTGCCCTCACCATCAGTCCTGCCTTGCCCAGAGGGCTGGGCCAGGAGAAGCCGGCCAGTGCAGGGGCCAGCCAGAAAGCATGTCCTGGGGAATGGCTGAAGAAACTAAGGATATGTACCCAAAGAAGAGAAGACCTGGGAGAAGATTCTATCTACCCAGAAATGGTGGTTGAGCACCTACTGTGTTCCAGGTACTGTTCTCAAATGAGCAAGACAGAGAGCAAGACAGACAGATGGCCTGCCCTTGTGGGCTTGCATTCTAGACAATAAATAAAAACAGAACCAGACAATCCAATTAATAAAAAATAGAACCAGACAATATAATAAATAAAAAATAGAACTAGATAATCCAATTAAAAATAGAACCAGACAATCCAATAAATAGATACATAAAGCAACATCAGCTGGTACTAAGTTCTATAATGAAAAATAAAGGCAGGCTAGCAGAAGAATAGAGAGTGCTGAGCCAGGCCAGGTTGGCAGGGTTGAGGGGGTGGTTTGGTGTCAAGGAAGGCATTTCCCAGCAGATGACACTTGGGCAGACACTTGAAGGAAAAGAGTAAGCCATCATCTGGGTATGTAAGTGGTTTGCTAACCCTGCCCTGCCTGTGCACATGCCAAAGGGAACTACATTTCCCAGAGTCCTTTGCCCTCTGGCTTCTGGGTACGTTCAGCAAATGGGAGGCTCCAGGGTAAGAGTGGAGGCTGGGAGGAAGCAGAATCTCAGCTACTTTCTCCCCTCTCTCCCTGCTCCCTGTGGCAGCCCCAGCAGGTTGGTGTGGGACACAATACCACCATGATGCAAATGCTCTAAGGTGAAGCAAGGTTCCATTTCTCCTCAACTGACTTCTCTCTCCTTCCTGACCTTGGGACTCCTTTTTCCTCAACTCCATCTTCCTTTGCTCCATTGGCTCATAAGTGAGAAGGAGCTGATTGGCTGACTGGGGGAGCCAAAGATTCCCAACAGGCATTTGCCTAAGCGTCTGCCCTTAAAATCACTCAAGCATCTGATGTGTTCATCTTCTTCTTTTCCAAACCTGACATCTCATTAAAAAAAAACAAAAAAAACACAACAAAATGATGCCACCACGTGACTGTATGGTCAACAGCCTAGTTGAAGAATCTCAGACCTCCCTGAGATGCACGCCAGCCCCAGAGATGGGCAGTAGACTCATCTCTCCTCCAATCAGAACCATGGTGCACCCAGTGCATTTGGGGGACCCATTTGGACAGTCCAGGGCTGTGTGTGCTGTAGAGATGGGGGCAACACTCCCCATCCCTGTCGTGGCTAATTTTATGTGTCAACATGTGATATGGTTCGGCTCTGTGTCCCCACCTTAATCTCACCTTCAATTGTGATAATCCCCATATGTCATGGGAGGGACCTGGTGGGAGGTAATTGAATCATGGGGGCAGGCTTTTCCCATGTTGGTCTCATGATAGTGAATAAGTCTCACAAGATCTGATGGTTTTACAAAGGGGAATGCCCCTGCACATGCTCCCTCTTGCCTGCCGCCATGCAAGATGTGACTTTGCTCCTCCTTTGCCTTCTGCCATGATAATGAGGCCTCTCCAGCCACGTGCAACTGTAAGTCCATCAAACCTCTTTTTCTTTATACATTACCCAGTCTTGGGTACTGTCTTTATTAGCAGCATGAACATAGACTAATGCAACCTGGATGGGACACAGGGTGCCCAGATATTTGGTCAAGCATGATTCCAGGTGTTTCTGCGAGGGTGTTTTGGATGAGATGAACATTTAAACTGAAGGATGTTCAGTAAAGCAATGTGCCCTCCCTAATGTGGGTGGGCCTTACCCAATCAGTGGAAGGCCTGATTAGAACCCAAATGCAAGAGAGAATTCTGCTGCAGAAGGCCTTCAGGCTCCATCTGTGAGGTCAGCTCCACCTGCTTCTACCACAGACAGCCTTCAGACTAGAACCATGGCATCGGTTCTCCTCACTCTCCAGCCTGTTGGCTCATCCTGTGGATTTTGGACTTGCCAGTTCCAACATGGTTCAAGCCAATTCCTTATCACAAATCTCTGTCTGTATATCAGCACATCCTGTGGGTTCAGCTTCTCTTGAGAACACTGACCAATCCAATCACCGTTACTCCCGATGACTTGTAGGTGAAGCCCCTTAAGGAAAATTTCTTTCACAAATGAGAGCTAGGGAAAGATTTACTCTTCCTGAGCAGCTAAAGTATTTTCTCCAATGGCCACGAGAACCTTAAACCTTTCCTTCTTTCCACGCTCCCATTGGCCGCCAGGAACTTGCAGCTTGGCTACAGCAATCATGAAGGACCTGGTGGGTAACGTATCTGTCCCTGGACTCGCCTTCCTAACGTAGCTGCTTTTTTCCCTCGGCCCTGACTTTCTACTTCTAGGTGAATATTACTCTTGTACTGCCTGTTTTTCCCACAAAGTGCAGGGAGTTCAAAATGCCAGGCCACATGTCCGAGGATTTTCCCTCCCCTTCCGCTGGCCCCTGGCCCATCTGCTGGCTGGGAAGGAGCTGGCTGCATCTCTCCTTTTGAACTCCAACTCTGGAGGTGGGAAGCTGGCTGGAGCCGCCCCCAGGGCAGAAAGAGGAGAAAGGGCATCAGAAAGACAGGTGCTCAAGACTGCAATCAGGCAGCTGTCCACACTGTCACAGTGAGCACCCGCCGGATACCAGGTGTATTAGTCAGGGTTCTCTAGAGAGACAGAACTGATGGAATATATCTACATGGGAGTGTATTAACTCACACAATCACAGGGTCCCACAATAGGCCGTCTGCAGGCTGAGGAGCAAGGAGAACCAATCTGAGTTCCCAAACTGAAGAACTTGGAGTTCGATGTTCGAGGGCAGGACGGATCCAGCACAGGAGAAAGATGTAGGCTAGGAGGCTAGGCCAGTCTCTCCTTTAACATTTTTCTGCCTGTTTATATTCTAGCCTCGCTGGCACAGCTGATTAGATTGTGCCCATCCAGTTTAAGGGTGGGTCTGCCTTTCCCAGCCCACTGACTCAAATGTTAATCTCCTTTGGCAACACCCTCACAGATACACCCAGGATCAATACTTTGTATCCTTCAATCCAATCAAGTTGACACTCGGTATTAACCATCACACTGGGGGCTGGGTGAGGGGGGACCTGGGGATGTGGGTGAAGACATCAGGAAGGACGTCTTGAGGAACCTGCTGCCGCCAATGTTAAGATCACTGCTGGGATGGCCTGGGCTGCTGGGGACAGCTCACTCAGGCCTGAGGCCTCAGGGCACCTGGGAGATGGCATCACCTGCCCCCTGCCCATGCCAGCTCCAGCCCACCTCAGCTTACCTCAAACTCCCATGAGCAGAAGGCTTTACAAAAGGTGGATTGTGAAACCCCCTCCCACCCATAAAGACACCCCATATAGATGCCTGATAGCAGCCAAGCCCAAGCCCTCGTCCTGCCCTGCTGTTGACTGTGAGAAGAGGGAGTGGGGGGAGAGGGTGGCCATTTTTCACTGCCTGATTCCCCTGCTAATTTCTGTCCTTCTGAGGACATGACAGGAACAGCCAAAGGTCACAGGGATTTGTGTTCCCGACAGGCAGCAAATGCTTTTGAGGAGGCGGAGGATGGGGTGCTGGGCCAGGCCATCATTGTGGGTCCTAGCCTCAGAAGGATTCCAGGGAAGGGAGGACAGGCATTTGGGGAAAAGAGCTGCCTTCTAGACAACACAAAGGCTGTCCGTGTGTCCTCGGTGTTTCCAGACTTTTGGAGGTGGGGCAGCCTGTGTCTGTCTTATGAGTGAGGAGGTTAGAGGTAGGTTTCCCAGAAGGGTGCATGGGTCAGGGACTAGATGAAGCTGTGTAACAAAAGAGGCTCAGAACAGATAATAGCTTCATTCTCCTCCATCTGCTGCCTGCATCACCTGCAATCCATGGACTCTCCCTTTGCCATCCTTAACAATGGAGACAATAACTCCTCCCTACAGGAAAAGCAGAATCTTAGCCACGCTTAGCCACCCCTAACAGGGCAGCACAGGGGCTCACTGATGCCCTTTCTCCTCTTTCTGCCCTGGGGACGGCTCCAGCCAGCTTCCCACCTCCGGAGTTCAAAGGAGAGATGCAGACACCAGTCACTGCCTTCCAGCAAGACCCATGTCCCATGCAATCCCAGCCGAGCTTGGCCAAGCCCTCTCTCACCCCACCACATTCCCGGCTCACAAAGCTCTGGGCTAGCACTCCACAACTCCGTAACTGGCACCCCAGTCTCTATGAGTACAGTGGTCCTCCCTTATCCACAGGGAACACATTCCAAGACCCCCAGGGGAAGCCAGAAGGCATGAATAGTATCATATACACTTTTTATGTACATACATACCTATATACATGTCTCCTGTACATGCATACCATGATAAAGTTTTATCTAAAAAATAGACACCAAATGAGATTAACAATAACCAATAATAAAATAGAACAATTGTAACAATATGTCAACATCACTACTTTTTTTGGGGGGGGGTGGTAAGGGGACGGAGTCTCCCTCTGTCACCCGGGCTGTAGTGCAGTGGTGTTATCTCAGCTCACTGCCACCTCCACCTCCTGGGTTCAAGCAATTCTCCTGCCTCAGCCTCCCAAGTAGCTGGGACTACAGGTGCCCACCGCCTCGCCCAGCTAATTTTTGTATTTTTAGTAGAGACGGGGTCTTGCTGTGTTGGCCAGGCTGGTCTCAAACTCCTGGCCTCAAGTGATCTGCCTGCCACGGCCTCCCAAAGTGCTGGGATTACAGGCGTGAGCCACCGCGCCCGACCTCAGCATCACTACTCTTGTGCTTTGGGGCCATTATTAAGTAAAAGAGGAGGAGGGTACCTTAAACACAAGCCCTGCAGTATGGAGCAAATGGATCCCACACTGAGAGGGCTCCCAAGTAACTTGCAGGCAGGTAGCATCAAGGCGTGGAGGTGCTGGACAAAGGGATCACTCACACTTCAAGGGGGATTGAGCAAGATGGAATGGGATTTCATCACACGACTCAGAATGGCATGCCACTTAAAACTGAGGAATTATTTATTTCTGAAATTTTCCATTTCATACTTTCAGACTGGGCTCAGCACATGTGCCCAGGCCACCCAGGTAGAGGTGGAGGGCATGGGATTCAAGCCCAGGCCATCGTTGGCTCTGAACATATACCTGAAACAACCTCCCTACCAGGTGAGTCTGTGCAGAATCCCTTCTCCCTCTCTACCCTCTCCCTCCCTCCCGGCCCCTCCAGCACCACACCCAAGACCCTCAGTGGGTGCCTGAAGCCCACTGTTGGGCTCTGTTTTCTCTAAGGACTTCCCCATACCCCCATCAAGCATCCGGGCCCCATTCTGTGCCCTGAGCACTTGGCATCTCCAGAACCCCTCTGCCCTGCTGCTCCAGGACCCAGAACTGCTCTCTCTCTCCCCATCTCCGACCCCACTTCTGGTAACAAGCATGTAATTCCCCCTCTTTTGCTCACACTCCACACACACACATCGCTGGATCCCTGGTGACTATCCCTGGGCTGTCCCCTGAACCAGGGGCTGGGGGCCTACATTTTGCCCCGGCAACTCTCTCAGATTCCCGCTTCCTCTCACATAACTGTTACAGTCCCAGCTACCCAAGCCTCTGCCCAGCTTCGTCCCACCCCATCAATCAGTCACCTACATCACTCCCAGGAGCCATTCTCAGGAGCAGGTCCAGGAGCAGCACTCCCTTACTTAAACACCCTTGATAGCCCCCTCCTGCCTGTACACCAAAATCCAAACTCCTAAACAACCCTCAAAACCCTCACAATTTGGACCCAACCTGCCTTGCCATCGTACGTCTCTTCATCCCCTCCTCTATGCACTAGCATCTGAACCAGAGGGTCTCAAATTTTGCAGGGTATGGGAATCAGGCAGGGGAATTATTAGTCATATTCCTGGGCCCTGCTCTTGGAGTCCAGCTGGTCTTCGGGCCTGGGAATCTGCACGTGTCACCAGCTCCCCAGGTGGTCTGGGGAGACCTACAGAGGATCATATCCTGAGCTTGCCGGGAGCTCTGTAGCCTCCAGGCCTTTGCTCACACCGTTCCTTCTGCCTGGAATGCTGTTCCCTTCCTACCAGCCTAGCAGAGTCCCCCCAGTCCTACCTCTAGGGACACCTGCTCCAGAAAGCCTCCCACAGACCCCAAGAGAGAGCAGCGCTCCTTCCCTTGTGTGTGTTCCAGGGCACTCTGCCCTCTCTTACAGCCTAAGACTGTCTGCCCAATGTGGGTGCTATTTACATGCCATCGGTCTGTTTGTTTGTTTGTTTGTTTGTCGAGACAGGGTCTCACTCTGTCACCCAAGGTGGAGTGCAGTGGTGCAATCTCAGCTCACTACAGCCTTGACCTCCCAGGCTCAAGCAATCCTCCCACCTCAGCTTCCCCAGTAGCTGGGACCACAGGCATGTGCCACCACGCTGGTTAATTTTTTTGTATTCTTAGTAGAGACAGGGTTTCACCATGTTGCCCAGGGTGGCCCCAAACTCCTGGCCTCAAGTGATCCTCCCACCTCAGCCTCCCAAAGTGCTGGGATTGCAGGTGTCAGCCCCCGCTCCTGGTCTACGTGCCATCTTTTACTCACTCATCTGGGAGCCGTTGGAGGCAGGGGACACTCCACCCAATCCCCGAGGCCGGGGCTTGTAAGTGGGGGCAGGTGCGCTCTGAGGCTCCAGACCTTGTCAGGGTCCCTGCCGCCAGCACACTGCTGGGGATCCCCCTGCAGGCACATCGGGCTTAAAAAGGAAATACACTATTTCATGACTTCACTTCTTTTATTTTTAGAACAAGTGACTCATCTCCACCACAGGGGCTCTGTGAGCTGCTCCCGGACAGGCTTACAGAGGCCAAGCAGGGAGTGAGAGGCTCGAGAGGGCTGCAGCTGCCCCTGCCCACACTCTGAGGCCCATGAGTGGCTGAGATGCAAGGCAGTCGGTCGTTCCCACTGACCTGCCCCTCCAAAATAGCAAGTCTGGAGAAGCCGGGCACCTGCAGAAGAGGTGGCTGCGGCAGAGGGTGCATCCATCTCGTCCCGCCTAGGAGGGGAGAGGTGGATGAGATCAGAGAGTTGTTTCTCAGGGTCTCACCTCACCATCTTTTCCTCCACATGCAGACCGGCCATGGCCATGGCCACAGCCACGGGCTGCCCAGGTGTGTTGCACCTGCCTGGCTGCATCCTTTCTCACATACCTGCCTCCACAGAGGAAAAGCTGGGAGCAGTCTGGGGACCCAGAAGAGCCACCCCTTTCCCGGGGCTGTGGCCCCGTTGGTGGGGGAATGGGGAGGAGGAATTCCTAGTGATGAGATCCGTGCCCAGGACCGAGGGCCCACAGCTCACCTTTGCCTGGCCTCAGTCCACCTCACCCCTTGGTGTGATAGCTCACTCCTGTAATCCCAGCACTTTGGGAGGCCAAGGCAGGTGTATTGTTTAGCCCAGAAGTTCAAGACCAGCCTGGACAACATTGCAAGACCCTATCTCTACCAAAAAAAACAATTGGCCAGGCACAGTGGTGCACATCTATAGTCTCAGCTACTTGGGAGGCTGAGACAGGAGGATCATTTGAGCCTGGGAGGCAGAGGTTGCAGTAAGCCATGATTGTACCACTGCACTCAGCCTGGGCAACAGAGCAAGACCCTGTCTCAAAACGTAAGGGAACAACAGCTCCCTAAGCTTACTACTACTACCCTTAACTACTCATTTCTTAGAGCCTTGCTCACTATACTTTCCAATCTGTGTAACCCACTTGTTTCTTCATTTTTAAAAAATGCATGCTCATTACAGGAAAACTAGAAAATCCACAAAAAATTCATATGGGGCAATAAGGATAGGGTATGCACAACATGCTATTAATTATGGGAGAAAATGAGGTTGGTGGGAGAAGACATTTGCATTTGCCTGGAAGCACACGGGATATCTCTGGATGAGACACAAGAAACAGGCAGCTCGGGCTGCATTGATGGAGGGAGATGAGATGACTTGGGGTAGGCAGAATCCTTGCTCATGGTATATCCTTCTGCAGTTTTCAAGGAAGAGGAGGAGAAAGAGAAGGAGAAACAGAGAACGAAGATGCAGAAATTAGGAAACAGTCCCCAGGACCACCCTCACTTCTGACAGCAATTGGAAGTTCAGGGGTCCTCAAGTTCATCATCCTCCATTTCAACAACCCACTGAAAGTTGTAATGGTTACAGTTATGGTTTATTA